>NC_000012.12:70641946-70793461 GCF_000001405.40 Homo sapiens | reverse complement strand
TTGCTTTGACTGGACCACTTCCACCTCTTGGTAGCCATTGTTTTGATTATGCTTTGTCTCTAAGATTGTACAAGATTAAAAATGATAAAGCCATGTTTAATCTCCTGTTACAATTCTTCATATAAATGCTTCAGGATTCTGATCCCACGTATTTAGAATTTCCATTGAAAACTCTGCTCTGATCTGAGCATGATTCTGATTCCCAGCATGTTGAAACTTTGCTCAACTTTAATTTTTCAGTCAGAATTGTGTAACCTGAACCAATTGAGATGTCAATAGTATTTGCTATTGTTTCTGCTGTTAATCATTGTCCCTCTTCAATTAGGGCACAAATAAGATAAAAATTTTCCTTGCAAATTGATATGATGATCTGTACTGCAGGCTTCACATTCAACATTGTCTCATCCCTTCTTAAAACGAGTTATCCATTGGTAAACTGCTGATCTCTTTGGTACATTGTCTCAATAAACTTTTAGTAGATCATTAATGATTTCACTATTCTATCCAAACTTCACCATAAATTTGGTTTTTGTCTTTCCTTAAATGGAAAGAATTCTGCTAAAATTCTTCAATTTTGGAAGAATTAATGTTGCTCTGACAGGGGCTCTTTTCAAACTGATATCTCATTATTCTTAGTGCCTCAAAGTAGATCCTGTTCAGACATGTTACAACAAGTTCATTTGAGTTTACTTTGTGCAAAAAAAATTTAAATTGATGCATCTTTTTTCATAATATGCATTTTCCATGAAGATTTTGAAGACCTCTCATATAACAGAAGTCAGCATGGGTACAAAATTTAGTGTTTTTCTTAATACCTATCCCCTATATGAGAATTTGAAAATTATTTGAAACTTAAAGGTTTTAAACTATCTTTAAAATAATTACATCTTATTGTCCATATTTTTAAAATAAGCTAATTGCAAGATATAAGTTTGAAATTTACATCACTTATGAGATGCCACTATTAGTAAATTATGACATAGATACAAGATATGACAGAAAAGTTCACCAAGAGACAACCATACTAAGCAGAATGGGTCCAACCTTTACTTGTCACCTGAAGAGTAGCCACATGACATAGTTGAAAAATTAAATATGGGGTAAGAAGGCCTAATTCTGCCATTTATTAGTTGTCATTTAACCATTTTGAATTTCATCGCTGAAAATCTCTGCCCAACTTAATAATAACAAAACTATCTTATGGTAACATTTATTGAGTACATATTAGGTTCCAGGCAACACCCTACACATCTTAGAAGCTTTCTCAATCAATCCCCTTAACAACCTCTGACGTAGTAGACCATTATCTTCTCTTTCAGATGAAGAAACTGACCTTGTGAGAGGTTAAGTAACTAGCCCAGGTTTATCCAGCTGAGTTGAAGAGTTATGCTTCAGACCCAGTCTGACTTTGAATCATAGCACTTAACTGGTGTGCTATACCTAATGGGAGATGATGTCCAAATGTGGGGAGTGGTATTAACTCTGAAATCACTGTGTTTTTTTTCCTCTGAGATATGTGGTTGAAGCAAGTCGTTTCTCAAAAATAGCCACTGCATTCTCTGTAACTGTCAACCACAATCATTTTCCAGATACACATGGTAATTTTGTATTTTAAAAATATCTGAAATCAGCTCAACAAAATATTTTATTCAAATTCCATCACCCACAACTATTTTACATTTTTTTGTATCTTAAAAAACCATTACATCTTATAGACTTTAACATATTTATGTAGTTGTAATTACCATATACATATATTTGCATTATGTTTATTTTACCTAATATTATAGACCTGCTTTATTCATTCATCCAAAAGATATTTATTGAGTTTCTGCCATAAGCCAAGCATTATTTAGGCTCTGTGGATCATCAGTAAGCAAAACAGTCAAAATCCTTGCTTTTTTGAAGCATACCTTCTAATAGGAACAGAATATAATACATCAATGATGAGAAGTGCTAAGGAAAAAAATAATAAAGCAAGGTAAGCAGGCAGACGGTGACAGGAAACGTGGTATTCTAAAAGAGTCTGATTAGTGGAGGCATCTCTGAAAAGGTAATGTTTCAGTAGAGACCTGAATGAAGGGAGGGAGTTAGCCCTGCATATATCTCAGAGGATTTCTAACAGTGAGACAGTTTTTAAAAAGGCTCTGAGGCTGGCGGGGGCTTGGTGTGTTTGAAAAGCAGCAAGGAGACTAGAATAAATGAAGTGGAAGTCAAAGAAGAGTGGTGGAAGATGGGGAGGTGCTATTAGAGAGATCAAATAGGACCATGTCAGATTCTAATTTTATTCTGAATGAGTTAGAAGCCTCCAGAGGGTTTTTTAAAAAGTACTGACATGATCTAATTTATGGTTTCAAAAATTACTCCAGGTTTTTGCAGAAAATAAACAATAAAAGCAGAGTGGAAGCAGGGAGAACTGCTTTGGCAGTGGCTTTGGTCCATGATAGATGTGGCTTTGGCCCATGATAGATGTGGAGGTGGTAGAAGTGGTCTTGTTCTGAATATTGTTGATAGGTAATGCTAACTGGTTTTACCAACTCTGGAGGGTGAGAGAAAGAAGGGAGACAAGAATGATGGCTGGTTTTTTTGTTTTTGTTTTTGTTTTTTGTCTCTTGTTTTTGAGATGGAGTCTCCTTCTGTCACCCAGGCTGGAATGCGGTGGTGCTATCTTGGCTCACTGCAACCTCCGCTTCCTGGGATGGCTGGTTTTTTAACCTGAGCACATGAAAGATTGAAGTTGCTAGTTACGGAAAGGAAGAGAATTGACAGAGAAACAGATGTAGGGTAGAGGTGAGTAGAGTAGGAATCAGGAGTTCAGTGTGGACAAGATCCAGTTGGTTATTTAAGGGGGTATGTCAAGGATGCAATTGGATGCATGAGTCTTGAGTTCTAAGGGAGAGATCCTGCTAAATTTCAGACTATAGAGGAAAAGAAGAGACTAAGAATTGAGCATTGGGCTGTCCATTGTATAGAGGTGAGGAAGATGAGGACAAATAAGCAAAGGGAACTTGAAAAGGAATGGCCAATGAGAAGAAAAACTAAGAAAGTGTGGCACCCTGGAAGCCTAGGCAGGAAAGGGTATCAGGGCAGAGGAAGGAATCATTTGTGTTAAGAAGGAAGATCAACAGGAGGAATATTAAGGATTGAACATTGGATGTAGCAATCCTGGTTTAGTTTAACAGGAGCTGATACAGGGAGAATGGGAGGTGGAAAGCGTTATTAGAAACAATAAATATGGGCAACTCTTTTGAGACCTTTGTTTATAAAGGAGATTAAAAAAAGGAATGGTAGCTGAATAACAGGATATTTGGATTTGTTCAGCTTTTGTTTTAATATGAGAAATATTATAACACATTTGAATATAAATTAGAAAAATCTAGTAGAAAGGGTGAACTAATGATGCAGGAATGAGAGGGAGAATTAGACAACAATTATCTCCTGTTGATGTAACATTATCCTTTTTACTGTTGATGTTCATTTAAGTTGCTTCTGATTTTTTACTATTATGTTGCAAAGAAAATATTTGTGCCTACTTATTTTTTATTCGTTGAGATCATTTTCTTAAGATAAATTTGCAGATGGGGAATTACTGGATTAAAGATTATGAACATTTTTAATACCCTTAACACTGCCCTATTGCCTTAAAATCAATTCCATGTGGCCAGTAATGTATAAATGATTGTTTTATTGTAACCTTCCTAGAGTTATGCCATATAACTTGAGTCCATAATTCATGGAATTCCTAGTGTTTCAACTACCCTTTTTCTATCAGACTATTAGCTTCTAAAAGACAGAGATAATGTCTTAATTTTTTTGTTGCCATCTATTTTTAGACAAAATATTTCTCTAATAATAATAATTACAACAGTTATCTGAAATCCCTCAGGGTTCAATCATAATGGTATGCATATGGTATGGTAAGAAAAAAAAAGTCATCAGTTTTGGAATCAGACCAGCTAATATTTGAATCCCAGATTAGTTACTTTGCCTCTGATTGAGTCACTTTAATTTGCCAATCAATATAAAAATTAATAATAACCCTTGTTTCTAAGTCATGCTGACTGCTAAAATAAGATATCTATAAAGACCCTAGCACCAAGTAAGAAAATTTTGGTGGAAATAGTGGAACTTTGAAAAGAAATTTATGTTTATTATGAAACTAGCTTATGAGTATTTAATATTTTTATTTTATTTTATTATTATTATACTTTAAGTTTTAGGGTACATGTGCACAACATGCAGGTTTGTTACATATGTATACATGTGCCATGTTGGTCAGGAAGATAAAAACATTCCTCATGCAACACACCTTGTCCACAGCCCATAAAGTTCTCATCTTACAGTTTTGCTAATTCCCATGGAAAAAAAAAATCCCCATGAATTTCAATTCTAGTAAACTGTTGAAACAGCAAGCACCTGGGATATCTCTTGGGAAAGCACAGGCTGCTGCAGTAGACCTGGGATCCGCAGTGTCTCTAGAAACAGTACCAGGCGGTTACCTCCAGGTGACTAAATGAGGCTTCATCTCAGCACACAAGCTTAGAAAGCTTTACGATTAGTCCTGCTTGCTATGGTAAGGAAATAACACAAAGAAGAGTGCAAATGGAAGTCGACTTCATCACAACATGCAGTCAATTTCCAAACAGGTGAGATAATCTCTCATGATAGGCAGAGGGTCCTCGGTGTAATGTTAAGAGCTTAGGAGGGTAAATATTAAGATTTATGTCTATATCTGTTCATGTAAATGTAGAAAAATGAGTCAGCATAGAACTTATGTGATATCTAGGGAAATATCTTTAGCCTAAAAGTCTGAAATTAAAAGAAAATGCTATGCAGTCATTCAAAATATCTTAACAGTAAATATCTACCATAATCATAAGGAGTTTCTTGTAAAGTTCATAATCATCCTAAGGAGAGTAGAATTATAAATATGTTCACTTGAACAGAACTCAAAAGTTCTTAAAAGACATTGAGTGGAGCAGATATTTTCTTTGTTTTGTTTAGTGTGGTTCCCACACTGACATCAGGGAAAAGATGACTACAACTAGAAACGAAAATTGAGAGAGGGTTACAGTGGGTTAATTCACTAAATCTAGACATTTTTATAATAATGACATCTCGGATACCCTGTGTTTGTGTGCAGACTTCACTAAAAGACTAGTCAGTATCTTCTGTTATAATTGCATGTAGGGTCCAGTGAGTGAAAGTCAGTGCTATGAGACATCATCAGCTAAATTCCCAGCTGGGGAACTCAGCTTTGTTGTTTTTTATCAGTAAACCAAGAACCTTACTCTTTAATGTTGGCTTAAATATGGCTCTTATTTAAAATGATGTATAAATTTATTAATCTGTATAGAAAGTGCTATCCTGAGGTGAAAAACCTCGCCCAATGTTTATTCCACTTAACTTTATTTCAAAAAGTATGTATTTAGTTTCCACTGTGTTCTAGGCATTGTACGAAGTTCTGGACAACAAAGATTAAAAATAAGAATTTAGTTTCAATATTTAAAAACAATATAATGGTTCTAGTGTTGGTACAAAGTCATAGATAATTTTAATTTTATCTGTGGTCCTTGATGATGAATAACAATGTCAAAAAATAATGCATCTGGTGTTTACATCCATCTTAATAATAAAATTGGATTAACTTTCTGTCTGATTCAATATTGCAGAAAACAGTCATCAAGATGGCCCAAATAAATTATTTGATTCAAGAAGTCAAGCTCTGTTTCCCACAAAATATAGGGCTGCCAGATTTGATGTTATTTTTTTAAGTGCAACTCTGGTGTGAGACATGAGCAGGTAATAATGCCAAATGATGGCTTGGCAAGAATTTCCAGCAGGATTTAGGGCTCAGCAGCAAGATTTTAGACTAAAGGGAAAGGAAAGTTTTTTTAGTGATTTTCTTGTAATGTTTATTGCTTATATAGCTTTTAATATGAGGAGGACTAACCTGTTTAAATCTTTCATTTAAAAGAAATTAAGCTTTAAAGAAGATGTGGCTTCTTAGCCTTGTACACTAAAATACCTTGCCCTACAGCATTCATACTCTTCAAGTTAATTTTAAAAATTGCTATTGCGAATTACTCAGTTGATAATTGATGCTGGATTGTGTTGTATCAAATTAGCCATGTCTATATTTGGCTGTCACAAAAAGGAATAAGCTATAAATAGTTTCCCTTGTTTTTCTGATCAATATATATACTTCTAACAGTTAATAATTAGATCAGACATAGTGCAGTCCTAATAAATACCAGGACCTCAATCTTCCTAAAAGAAAAAGAAGACTCTTATTGTGGTAATTGAGAAGTAATAACAGGATGAAATAGGCAGAGTCATGTTGTGCATCAAAGTTATGCTGCAGACAACATCACTCAGAATCTTTCTTTTCTAGAAATGAGACAGTTCTCAAGGTGCTAATCACTAAAATAACACATTGTGGAAAATTATATGCTTATTGTTATTTTTCCATATCCTTCTTCAGTTGAAAGAACCACAAAAACACTAGCTAAAACTTATTCCACACTCTGCCTTTATTCATTTTAACCATGCAGAAAATTATTAATTCCCCCATGACAGAAAAAATCAGGATTACTAAGAAAAAAGTTGAAAGACATTAAATCATAGAGTTTTTATTTGCATGTTAAAACCACATGCCAATAAACCTCATTTCATTTTACCGTGTTTCTTGGAGAATTGTATAGTTCACCAGAAAAGTGAAAACACAGAATCCCATTACAGCCATTGAAGTGAAACATAAACTACTTCATGGAGGGAATAAAAATGAAAGGAAATGTATAACACACTTCCACGGAGCATTAGACTTCAAACTACTCTTGTGATCAGACTGATGTTTCAGAGCTTGTGTGGTCTCTGTGCCCCTTCAGAGCTTAAGCTTTTGCATGTGATCAGTTGAAAGTCCCAAAAGAGTCTATTCCTATTGATTGAATATAAGCACATAAAAGGTACCCATCTCCTTATTTCACCCACATCTGAAATAAAGCTCCAATGACCTGTAAGGACTTTTAATTTCTTAATTTTTTTAAAAAAGAGTAGTATTTATATATTCAATGGCTCAGGAAAGTATCAGTTTATGACTAGAATGCAAAGTCGTTGGGGGCTGAAGGATTATTATTTTGCCCATGGATATCTACTTCTAAGCATCCCTAAAAGCCTCTTCGAAGTAATCATGGTCTCAATTCTTACTGAACACTGTAGTGAGAAGTCTCTGTCCTTTCAGAAAAGCTCCATGAATGAAGAGGTCAGGGCTGTGATGATTAGAGTTTTGTTATTTTGATAGGGCTGGATGTAGAAACCTGAATTTGTCTGACCTCGTTTTTCAGACATTTGCCTGAGTGTTGAGCTTTTGGCCACACAGGGTTTCTGCCTGACCCTGATTCCAGTCATTTTCAACTCAAGCTTTGGCTGCTGGGTTCTGCCATCAGCATGAGAAATACTGAAGGAAGGGGAGGGGAGGCTGAAAGAGAACAAGGAACAAGAATAACTGGGAAAAATAACATCCCAATAAAAGATAGAAAACATAATCAGGGGAGTGGAAGGTGGAAAGTTCTGTTGACTCAAACATATAATAATGAGAATTGAAAACTCTGTTAAAAACAAGTAACTTGCTATTATGTTTGTTTACTGTACCCAGGATAATATCTATTTGTGGTTAAATCGTGATTTTTCTCCTGTCTCTGAGGAACTTTGCGTTAAATCTGTTTTCTTCTATTTCATCCATAGACCTGTCTGTAACTTTTATAAAAATATTTTTACAAGCATAAATGGACATGAAGTCACAAAGCATAGAAATGATACTATCATAAAAAGTATATAGAGTATTATTTTATATTTTATGGAAGCTTTATCTCCTCCAGTGAATTTGTACTTGGAAGAGTGGAGACCTTCACCATTTCATAATTTTTAAAAACAGCTTATAAGGATAGGGGCTTACTCAAAATTGTATAGAATTTAAAGTTTCCAGAACAATATACAAAAGTTCTTCATGTAATTTCTAAATTTTAGGTCTCTGCACATGAAAGAAAAGTTTTTATCACAAGAATGTTATTAGGGGATGTGAAAGGGGACACTAATTAAGAGGTAATATTAAAATAGAGGGCAGAGACTAATGAAGGAAAAACTAGGTTATAAAAAGCATTTCAAATGAGTAGGATAAGAGATTCTATTCTAAATCATTAAATTTGGCTTTGTTTCAATATTAATATTTAATTGGTAGTGGTAAAAATGAAGAAAAGAAAGATGAATATGAATTTAATTAGATGTCCTTAAAGAGTCTTCTACATGATTTAGGATTTGAGTTGCATGTTCACAGAAGCCATAATGTGAAGGGACAGGATGGAGAGTGAATGGAAGCAGAGATTTTGAATTCAAAAACTGTTCTTAAAATGTGCCGTTTTGACCTTCAACCTCGAATATATATATTCTCTCCAGAAACAAATGATAGCATTTCAGCAAAACCAAATTGTTTTGACCATTGCTTTTTCCTGGGGCCTAGAGTTTTTGATTGACTTTTGGTGAAAGCTCCTTGACAAGTGTAATAATCAGTAACTGTAAACACTGCAAATCCAATCAGGCCACTTTTTAATGTTGATATTATTACTATCCTGGTTACTATGTTCAAGACCTTCATTTCATCAACAAAGCTGTTACTCCACTTCCCCTTGTACTGAATATCCAAAGAAGCAAGTCACTAAACTATTCATTTTCAACATTGATGTGCAGTAAACACGTATCTTTAAGCCTAGTTTACTGTTACTTTTTATCTGCCACTTCTAGCTGTTTTATAGCTAATAGTGATGGCAGCGGCGGCCATCTGGTGCGGCTGCTGCCATCATGCCGGCCGCTGCAGGGAGGGTACTGGGAGGAGGCAGACAGAACCCCCAACAGCAGCCTGCTGCCCTGGGCACCGCCCATTGGAGCGGGGCTAGGTTGTGCTCCGGACAAGGGGGAGCTCTGGCTAGCCCCTGAGCTCCCGGGCCACAGGGGGAGCTCCGGAGAGACAGGGAGAGCTCTCGGCAGCATCGACCCAACCCCGCTACTAGCCCAGGCCCAGCAAGGATCTGGAGCCCCCACCCCAGGCTGCCAGGGGGCATGGCCAGGTGCCTTGCTCCATGGAGCCTGCGGAACTGGGATAAGCGGGAGCCCTGCCCCTTCCAAGTTGGCAGGTGGGAGCTCCCCAGGTGCAACTGCAAGGTGTCCAGGCCACCACTGCAACCTGGGTACCCCTGTGCTCTCCGGAGACAGGAGTAGGCAGAAGCCCCGCCCTCCTGGGCCAGGCTGCAGCTGCCCAAGTCAGGGCTGCGGATCTAGGCCTCCCGCTCCACCGAGCAAGCAGGAACCCTGCTCCCTCTGCCCTCAGCTGCAGCCACCCAAACCGCAGACCCAGGCATCCCTGCATTCTTACCTTTGCAAGCTTGGAGTGCCTGTCTCTGTTGCCGGGCTTCTCCCTACTCCGGGCACCCGCTCTAATCTGGGAGCAGGGTTGGGGCTGAGCCCAGGTTCTGTCACAGCCCCAGCTGTGTGCACAGGCTCAGGGCAGTGCTGACGTGCCAACCCCCGCCCCCCGCCCCCCCCCCCCGTCCCCCCCACACAGCCTTAGACCCTCCAGACTTTGGGTGCCAAAAAGAAGGGAAGCTAAAAGGGGACTAAGGGCAGCTGGGTGCTGAACTGCAGGTGTCTCTTGGTGCCAGCAGCCTGGGCACCATGGATAGCCATGGGAGGCAGACAGGCTCCTGGGCAGAAAAGGGCAGGTCTCCAGTAAAGCCTGGGGTCCGGGGCCGCCAGTCCTGCAGACCCAGAGCAGGAGCTCATGGTGCTTTTTCTTGGGCCCACCCATGGCTGCCCATGAACCAGTCAGCATGCACTTCCCCACCCTCTGAGGCCCATAAAGGCCTCAGCCAGAGCAGACAGAGGGTGAAGAGATGAAGAGGGAGAGGCAACAACCAGCTGCAGACAGGAGCTATCCTCTCTGCTGAAAGTAGGAGGACAGAATGATCAGCTACAGAGAGGAGCTACCCTCTCTGCTGAGAGTTTCAGAGACCTGGGAAGATGGGACTACCAGCTACAGAGAGGAACAATCTTCTCCAGGGCCTCCTCTCTGCTGAGAGCAGTAGATGTCTGCACAACCAGTAGCAGAGAGGAGCTACCCTCTCCAGAGCCTCCTCTCTGCTGAGAGCTGAACACTCCACAGATGACCAGCCTACAGAGAAGAGCTATCAACAGTGGGTCTCCTCTGAGCTGTTCTAACACTTAATAAAGCTCATCTTTGTCTTGTTCACCCTTCACTTGTCTGCATACCTCATTCTTCCTGAATGCAGGACAAGAACTCAGGCAAAGGTGCCACCAGCCACAGAGGTTTCTGGCCGGAAAATCGGACCCCAATGATCCCTTATCAATAGCTCATGTAGGGCCCACATTAAAGACTATGAAAGGGATGCAGTTACCATTCCCATGTGCCAGGTGAAGAAACTGAGCCTCATTTTCTTCAACTGAGAAGAAATTTGACCAAGGCCACTCAACCCAGGTTTGAACCCAAGTCTGCCTTACTAACCCCTATCTTAACTATTATTTGATAATGTGGTAGTTTTTTATTTGTTTATTTTTTTATTATACTTTAAGTTCTAGGGTACATGTTCACAACGTACAGCTTTGTTACATATGTATACATGTGCCATGTTGGTGTGCTGCACCTATTAACTCGTCATTTACATTAGGTGTGTCTCCTAATGCTATCCCTCCCCACTCCCCCCACCCCACAACGGCCCCGGTGTGTGATGTTTCCCTTCCTGTGTCCAAGTGTTCTCATTGTTCAATTCCCACTATGAGTGAGAACATGCGGTGTTTGGTTTTTTGTCCTTGTGATAGTTTGCTGAGAATGATGGTTTCCAGCTTCATCCATGTCCCTACAAAGGACATGAACTCATCCTTTTTTATGGCTGCATAGTATTCCATGGTGTATATGTGCCACATTTTCTTAATCCAGTCTATCATTGATGGACATTTGGCTTGGTTCCAAGTCTTTGCTATTGTGAATAGTGCCACAATAAACATACGTGTGCATGTGTCTTTATAGCAGCATGATATTTAATCCTTTGGGTATATACCCAGTAATGGGATGGCTGGGTCAAATGGTATTTCTAGTTCTAGATCCTTGAGGAATCGAATGTGGCAGTTTTTGATTGGTATTCGCTCACCTACCTGCAACATCTGAACACACAAACACATTTATTTTGTTAAGCTGTGCTCAGGCTCCCTAGCAACTGAGAAAACAGGCAAGCACTTTTAAATGTGTGAACACAAAATTCAAGAAGCTCCTGAATATTGTCCTTGTCTACAAGATCTTACCCTTTTTAAACAAGAAATTTGGGTATCTTTTCTCACTCACTATCAATACCCATTTAGCTCTTTGTTAATTGTTTTAATTAGCTTATCAATTGATCATAACAACAACTGAGCAAGGATATGAAAAACTCATGAAGTTGGTATTGCAACTGTTTATGAAATGTCTCAACATATTCTTACCAATACTGTTAGTATTGTTATTTCATGTGTTAAAAGGAGTAGCTCATCAGTAATGCAGGGAGCTTAAGAAGGAAGAGTAAGTCATCTAAGACACTATTGCTGTAGTATAAAGGTCATAGTTATTTAAAACTATGGGGAAAAAATGAATTCTCTCTGTTTACCATCCTGTCTTTATCCTTTTGTTCTGATCAAAATTGGTCTTCGTGTTCTGCCTATTTCTTCATTATACCTCACTCTTTCACCTCTTAAAAGGGTCAATATACTGACAACATACTAATTTTAGTTTACTAAGACCAAATTGTACCAACCCTTAAAAACTTACTCAATAACGCTTTGGCATAAAAAAGTCTGCAGTTGTACAGAATGCACCTATATGGCTGCACAGGGAACTTGCACTTTTCATGTGAGTTGCAGTGAGGATCACATGCCCTCCCAATGCACCTTGAACCACATTTTGAGAATCAGGACTTGAAGGCTTCCAATTATCTACTCATTAACACATCAAACAGCCTTTTTCTGTTCACATTTTTCTTAACCTCCAGCAGTATCTGGCTCTGTTGAGAAACCTCTTTTGGAACCTCTCTACTCCTGACTTCTTCCATAACACCATTTACCATGATGTTTCTCTGACCTGTCTACAAGCATAGATATCTGTGCTGAAATAAGGCTACCTAACAAGAAAAGTTGTAAAGTTGTCAGCCCATTTTTTTGTCTGACTTTTTGGTGCCATATGTTGGTGTTTTAGTGGACCAAGACATAGCAGCTGTCTCTCCTGCCTGAAAAAGACGTAGGAACTGGGCCTACAGAGATCAAAATGTCAATTATATTGCTGATAGAGCTGCTGCATTTGTGACTTCAAATCACGAAAGTGATATTCTTTTATGACTGCACCTCCTTCAAGCAAATTTTCTCACCAGTCACAGGCAGCAATGGTAAACCACAGCACTCTCCTGCAGGGACAATGCCTTTGGGCTTACTTTACCACTTGCAAAGAACAGACCAGATTATATGGTCTTTACAGGTAGGCAGAATCCTAAAGGAAAGCACAGACCTGCACATGCCCCACTATCTTATTCCAAATGCACCAGTTACACAAGTCACTTTTCCTCTTCTAGGGAGACTGACAAGAGGAAGAATCCAGGAATATTATTATATTAAAACTGCTACCACACAGAATAAAACATCAGGGCTGGGGAATAAAGCATTTCCTCCCAATATCATGTAAAGGGGAAAGCCATAGAAATGTGGTAGTTATAGCATCACATGAAAATGGATAAATATTTGTATGATATGTGTAGGTATATGCATATATATTCATATATGCATATGTACATTATATGATATATATAACCTATGTATCAGGAAAAAAACTAACACTAAAAATACCACAACCTTATCCCAGCGTGATGGGATACATGATTATCCCAAAATAAATAATCCTTATTTCTTTTTTCTAATCATTATATTTTATAAATTTTCTATCATATGCATTAACTATATAATTAGAAAGGTAAATTTTAAAACTCTCAAATTACCAAGAAATGGGCACTAACACTGGATACATTTGAATTTAATTTACAACCAATATAGCATAAAATATATATTGATATTGCCTACTAAAAGTGAGTTTCAGCCAGGTGCAGTGGCTCACGCCTGTAATCCCAGCGCTTTGGGAGGCCAAGGCAGGTGGATCACAAGGTCAAGAGATCAAGACCATCCTGGCCAACATGGTGAAACCCCGTCTCTACTAAAAATACGAAAACTAGCTGGGCATGGTGGCGGGCACCTGCAGTCCCATCTACTCGGGAGGCTGAGGCAGGAGAATCACTTAAACCCAGTAGGCGGAGGTTGCAGTGAGCCAAGATTGCACCACTGCACTTCAGCCTGGCAACAGAGCGAGACTCTGTCTTAAAAAAAAAAAAAGTGAGTTTCAAAAAGTTGATGAGACTAACTTTTGATTTTGCTCCCTCTTAAATGTTATAGTAGTCAAAGTGTCAGAGACATGTTAATTCTAAATAGAATACAAATTATGCTAAATCAATTCTGTGTGTTTTTTAATGATTAGGTATTACAGGTAAACTAAATTGAACATACCTTCCTCAAGCACGAGGCCTGGGTTTGTTACCCTTTCCAAGCCTATCATATAACTCAGATGCTTTCACTTGGTAACTACAGTGTTGGTTATCATGACTCATGTGTTCCTTCATTTTACAAGAATTTATTAAATACCTACTATGTGCCAGGCACTGTTTTGGGTCTTGAGGAGACAGCAGAGAACCAGACTGACATGGACCCGCACCAATGGAGCCCACATTTTGTAAAGTGAGAATATACAATAAACAAGTAAACAAGAAACTGTCAGATAGTGATAAATGCTATGAGGAAAAGAAAGCAGGGTGATCTGATAGAGAGTGGTCAGGCTGGGAAGGCCTCTCTGAGGAAGTGATGTTAAGACCGAGCTGAACAACCAGAAGGAGGCACCACCCAATAATCTTGAACACTTCCCCAGGCAGCAGGCAGGTGCATGCCAAGCCCATAAGGTAAAAATGAGCATAGCTGGCTTGAGGAACTGGAAAAAGGACAGAGTGCCTTGAAAAAGGTCTATGAGATGAAGCTCACAGTTAATAGGAGCCAGATAAAGCAGGGCCTTGAGAGCCCACATGATGGAATTTAACTCTAAACAGGATAGAAAGTTGTTGCAGGATTTTAAGAGAGAAACAGAAGCTGAACTCCTGAAAGAAAAAAAAAAAAAAAGATTTAAAAATGAATGGAGGGTTGGGCAGGGTGGCTCACGCCTGTAAACCCAGCACTTTGGGAGGCTGAGGTGGGCGGATCACCTGAGGTCAGGAGTTCAAGACCAAGTGGCCAACGTGGTTGAAACCCTGTCTCTACTAAAAATACAAAAAAATTAGCTGGGTGTGGTGGTGCATGCCTGTAATCCCAGCTACTTGGGAGGCTGAGGCGGGAGAATCACTTGAACCTGGGAGGTGGAGGTTGCAGTGAGCTGAGATCGTGCCACTGCACTCCAGCCTAGGCAACAAGAGTGAAAACTCTGTCTAAAAAACAAACAAAAACAAAAATGAATGCAAAAGACCAAGAAACTATAAACACAAGTTTTGTGTCATCTCCTGTCTGATGCAATCAAGACAGTCCATGTCTTGTCTACAACAATCACAAAGAATAAATTGACAGAATTCAGAAGTGAAATGATGGCAGTAAAAAAAAACATTAGAGAAATTGAAATCACATTTAAAACAAAAGAAATAGAAAAGATTCTGCTGAAAAAACATAAGGACAGAGTGCAGACCTCAGAGAATTTTAGCTGAATAAAAACATACAAGTGATTAGAGAAAATAAGCACATAAAATAATGTGCTGAGATAGAAAGATGAAGAATATATAGTTGCATAATTAGTGTCTTTGAAGATGAGACCAAAATGTTTAGATGAAAAATCATTCAAATGCATAATAGGAGAAAATATTACTGAAATAGGCTCTGGAATCTGTAGACTATAACGGCATACCACATTACAGGCACTATCAACCCAAAGAAATATCCTGGTGAAGTTTTCTAACTTTAAAGATAAAGACTTCTATGAGATGAGGGGTGGGAAAGGCAAGACAGACTAGCCTCAGGCCACAGTATTTTTCACAGCAACTCTCAATGCCAGAAGGCATTGGAAAATAGCAGCAGAGTTCAAAGAGAAAAAAAAATAGAAATAAAGATTGAATCAGGGGTTTAATATCCAGCCAAGCTGTTATTTATTGTTAAAAGCACCACAAATATATTCACAAACATATAATGCCTCAGGAAATAGAGCACTCATGAGCCTCACTTGAAAGAAGCGATTTGAAATGAAACCCAACTGAAAAACAGATAAATCAAAATATAGAATTCAAGAATGGTGACATCCTTCTAAAAATAAAAGACTGGTCATGAGCATTGAATCCATTTGAATATATAACTATCACTATAGAACTGTAGAAATTATGGTTTCAGCATATATTCATTGGCATAAACAGTGTTAACACATACCCATATCTTAGTGGCTTAACACAATAAAAATTTGTTTTTAACTCATGTCACTATTTAATGTGGGTTTCTGAGTGGGACCCTCTTCTCCACGCAGTGATCTGGGGGCTCAGATGTCTTCCTTTGTGTAGCTCCACCATTTTTAATGCAGTTTTAGGGTGACCCTGGACCCATCCAGCTTGCAGACAGAAGGAAGAAAGAGAGGGTGGAGAAGGCATCCTCATTGTTAACTGCGTAAGACTGAAGGTATCACTTTACTTTTACTTATCTTGATCATGGAGAATTCTGGGTAGTCTCTAATACACAGAATATAATGTCAATAGCATTAGATATAACAATATAGAAATAATAATATAATTACAAAAACTGGGAGGTTATGAGAATTGGTGGGAAGAGTGGCATATTTTCTCATCTTTCATAGCAGAAGTTAATAAATACTTCCTAAATTTTATAAATCAAGAAATAATGGCTTAAATATATTTTCATGCCTTATTTTATGTTATAATATAGACATGGGAAGAAAAAATGTAGAATAACAACTAAAAACAGACAATATAGCAAAAGACAGAAAACCAAGGAAGAATAAAAACAAAAAAACATAAAATAGCAAAGCAATAAAACACATCTAAATCTGTTGAAATAACAGAAGTGAATGGAATAAACTAATCTGTTAAAAATAAGAAATTATAAGAATCAAAGCATGATATTTGATGATGGTATATATTATAAATATAGAACTCTATCTCAGATATATTAGTGAAAAAAGCAAGTTGTGGAACAAAATGTATAGTTCAATCCTATTTGTATTTAATAGTAATATATATTATGTATGATATATACATATTGTTTTATACCATGTACACATAGAAAATATTTGGAAGTATACACAAGATATGGTTAGCAGGATTATTTCTGCGGATTAGGATGAAGGGCTAGGAAGGGGAAGCATATTTTCACTTTTTACCATATATCCATCTGTACCTTAAATTTTGTTGTAATAAGCATGACATTTTTATAAAAATGTAAACAAAAAATCCTAAAGTCCAACACAGTACTACTGGAGAACTGAAAGGAACAACAAAAGAAGGGGGAGAAGTCAGGGAAGGCTGGCAGAATGGTCTTTGCCAACCATGGATCTTGAATTGGAATCTTTAACTCTTCTACCTGGAGTTAAAGATTCCAGGTAGCAAAAAGGCTGAGTCTCCAAGGAGAAGAAAGAGCCCCTAGCACTGATCCCGGTGTGCGCTAACAATGTGAAAAGGACATGGCATGTTTAATAAACCTTAGGGATGCCTGGAGTATGACATGTGTGGTGGAAAGGTGTAAGAGGTTAAGACTGGAAGGACAGGGCAAATTTGGTGAATGGAGGAGTTAAGATCATTCATTAGAAAATGAGATTTTTTCAGAGTATTTTGAACAGAATAGTAGCTTGATTGGGATAGCATTTTACACAGATAACTATGATGTCCATATGGGGAATTAATTAGAGACCACAGAAAACTGGCAACCCATTAGGATTCTAGCCAAATAGTCCAGTTAGTCATGGTGATGATCTGAACTAAAATGATGGAAATATAGATAAAGAAAATATGGGTTCAACATTCAAGGACTATTTAGCAGGTAGAATAGACAGAACTTGACTATTCACTGGATGTCGTGGTGGTGGTGTAAAGAATAAAGAAAGAAGAGTCGGGATGATACCCAAATATGATAGCTCATTCCATTATGTGAATGTAGAAAGAGAAGCAAATTTGATTGTGGATAGGAAGAAGGAGAAAGGTAAGTTCAGTTTGGGTAATGTTGAGTTTGAAGTGTAAGTGGGACATTCAGGAAGAGGGAAGCAGGTGTAAGACCATGAGAAAGGTGGAAATGTGTAATATAGAAATAAAAATAATTAATCTGTAACTAATAGCAGAGGACAAGTGCAGAGAATTGTGAGAAGGGAAGGGGTGAAAGCATAAAATGTCTCTAACAGGTCAGCGTTCTCTACTCAGTTCAAAGGCATAAACAGAGAACCTTTTGCTTTTATTCCTGGAAATCTCTTGCCATTCCAACTCCTTGGCCAAGAATGGAGTTAAAGATTCCAGGTTAAAAAAAAAAGGGTTGGGGGGCACATTTGAGTTAGAAGTGGATGGATTTCTTCTAGCAAGCTTTTGGTCCAAAAGGAAGCTTTGGTCCTTTTGTGGCTGTTGGGAATTGAGACAGCACTTCTCTAAGGAGCCTTGAGGCATCTCTTAGGAAGAAAGATGGACATTTGTCCTTTGCCCACTAACTGGACCACTGGGTGTGGTCCTGACTCTTACTGGGTATGACCAAATGAAAGTCCAGGCTGCCTAATAACTTCAGGAGGGGACTAACTGCCTCCCTGCTAGGCAAAAATAATTCAATTATCCTTTACAAAATAAATAGCTAAAAGCTAATCACATACTTATAATTCAAACATAATGCTGGTACCTGAAAGTGCTACATTTCATCAATCCTATCACCTCAACTTGTACCTAAGGCCCATAGGCTTTAACTACTTTGGTGGACAGTCTGGGAACCAAAGAAAGAAAGTCTTGTCATAAAATATTATTTCCTTTGTGGAGGGGAACAGTAGTGGGGAACTGACAAAGGAATCTAACAAGACAGAGGCCTGGTATATTTAAATATAGGTAGAATTGGAAGACTTTGAATTTTGTATGTTTTTTCTGTATGTTTATATATTTGTAATAACAATAAAAATACTCAATTGTTCTTATGTAGTAACTCTATGAAATTATGTACTGTTGTAAAGTGGCTTACCATTTGCATTTGGAAAGAACATTTTAATCTCTTTGAAATTAAAATGTTAAATCATTTGTATGTTAAATGTTAAAAATGACCAAATGGGTTTAGCATCCAAACAAAAATATATCGCAGAATGTTGTACAGCAACTTGAAAGCTGTTGCCTTGTTACTGCTGTGAAAATTTATATCCTGTCATACTTGTTATGGTTTCACATAATAGGATGAGGAGAGGCTGTGCATTTCTAGCATCTATCCAGACAGAAGGAGGTAGCATATATCTTCTAACTATATAAAGTCATATATTTTTTATTTTGTCTGAAATAAAATTCCCATTTTTATCTAGAATCCTTTCTTTTTCTCAAATTGCACTCATATATAATGCCTGGCATATATTAGGCCTTCAAATACATAGATATCTGTTTGTACTATATTTTAGCATCACTATTTTTATGGGGAAGAGTCAGAAATCTGTGCATGCTCTACAAAATCCAGCTTTTCTCAGACAAGCAGAGAACTGAGGAAAATCATTCAAATGTTTTGATGCAATGAACCAGATGATTTCAATTTCAACTAATTACTTCAACTCACTTCTTCACTATAGTTGGGTAGTCTAAATTTCTGTTTCAAATGTACAGCTTTTGTACAGCTTTCATATTTTTGCAAAGTTGCCTTTTTCAGTGATTTTTAAATCTTTAGTTCCCATTTCACTTCCCATTTACCATTTCAGTCTGAAACTGTAATACTGTTTCCACAGTTACAAGCCTCAAGTTAATCATGCCTCTGGGAATTGAGTTCTGCAGTGTGTACACAACCCCCTTGAGGGGGCTTGTGGGTTCCCAGCATAGACAATTGGCTCCAAATCCTGCCTCTGGGGATTCAGGCACACTGTGTGCCAGCTCACCCTGCCTGACAAACACTGCTGGTGAGACAGAGGTTACTCATTCACCATTTGAGAAAACTAAGGAATCCATCTTTGGCCTTGCAAGGGAAGGGTAGTAGACAGAGTCTCCAATACAGTGTCTCATCTTTAATGGCAGCTTCTGTAGTCTGGCAGAGATGAAAACAGGCCACGGATGAAAGGAAGCCTCTGTTTCTCAGGATGACCAGGTGTACTGAGTTTTTCTAGTCTCCCAGGTATGCCAGGTAGATGCGTATATTGTGCTTAACAGTATAATGCTACTTTCCTGATCACTGCATTTCCAAATCCTACTTGTCCTTTAAGGTTGGCTTCAAGTCTTACTTTCTGCATTAAAACATTCTGTTATATAATGGATGCATATTTAGGCTATTAAAAATACAGAAAATAATGTAGCAAACACTTGTGTACTATTAGATGCTTTTTATTTAATAAAAACATATTACTCTCTAGAAGAAGATAACATTCTGTTAAGAGAGAAGCCACTTTCTTCAGGTCTAGTAGGAATTGCTTTCTGTGACATGCTGAGAAATTAACCTGGAACAGAAAGATCTATTTCAAATTGTGTCTGGATTCATGTACCTCTTTTATTTTTGCCTCACCAAGACTTTACCACTGCCTTTACCCATGATATGCTCCATCTGCCAAGCCACCTCTGGAATAGAATTATGCTTCTAATGGACCTTCCCAGCCTCCCAAACAGCTCTCCAACCAGGAATGAACACCCAGGGAACCAGTTGAACTTCCTACTTGTATTGACTCAGAGCCTAAAAGAAAACAGAAGAAAATGTGCAAAATTACTAAGGTTCTTGGTCAATTCTCTGGCTACAAGTTAGCAGCTTCTTTCCTCAGAATTCTGACTTTCTCCTCGTTAAAGGTGGAATTACATCCCACCTCACCACCACCCCAGAATTCATATGTTGAAGTTCTAGCCTTCCAGTACCTAAGAATGTGACCTTATTTGAAAATAAGGTTGTTGTAGGTGTAACAAAAGTTAACAAGAGGTCTTATTGGAGTAGGGTGGGCTCCTAATCCAATATAAGGAGGCCCTTATAAAAAGGGAAAATTTGGACACAGACACTCAGAGGGAAGACGTGAAGACACAGGGAGGAGAAAGCCAAGTGATGACAGATGCAAAGATTAGAGTAATATATCTGTAATCCAAGGAATCCCAAGGATTGCTGGCAAACACCAGAAGCTAGAAGAAGCAAGGAAGGATTCTCCCCTACAAATTTAAGAGGGAACATGGCCCCACTGACACTTTGATTCAGACTTCCAGCCTCTAGTATGACAAGACAAGAAATTTCTGTTGTTTTAAGCTTAAAAAAAAATAAAGTAAGATAAATTTTAAGAAATTTTAAAGTGTTACTGATTGTGTTTGATATAGCTTTCTATATACTCCAACATCATTCTTATTTCTCCTCCCCAGAAGCAAATTGTTGCCTATTACTGGGCTCTCTTAGGTAGTTTTTTTCAATGATTCTGCCCTTTTCTGGATCTTAATTTTTCACAAGGAGTCCAGTTAACCTAAATTAACCAAATCTTAGGGCCCCTACCTCCATGCAAGCATTGAGAGACCCTAAGGTGGAAATGCAGGCTGGAGCTTTAGCTGGGCCCATCATCTTGACTGGGAACCCTATACCTCTTTTGACTTTCCAAATTCTCTCTGATTCCTATAGCATTGAGCATTTAATCCAGTTTCCAATCACTTATTTATTACCTACTTGCAGGTACAAAATAGAGAATATACTTGCAGGTAAAAAATAGAGGATATATTATGGTATTTCCTTTTGAGACTATAAATCCTTGAAACAGTATTAATCTCTTTTTAAAGCAAGCTGAGGGAAGTTCCCCTAAAGAGTTCCTACTCTATAGGAGATTGCACATGTAAACCAATCTCGTTATTAGAGAAGTGTGTACTCAGAAGTATGCCTAGCTTTACAGAACAGGTGATGTTGCAGCCATTCAATAGTTATTGATAGCCTACTATGTTCAAATTAGTGAATTAAGTATTATAAGAATAAAAGAAATGCATAAAGATTTGGTTTCCCTACCTTGAGTATCTCTCAAATGATTAATGATGCATTTTTGAAAATACATACAGTAAACTACTTCATGGTTTCAGTGTAGTAATCATGCTGGGGCTTCAATGAGGGTTATTATTACTACTATGATAATTATGATATTATCATAATTTGATTTTATTTTAGGAATTCTTTAATATTTAGATTTTTTCCTAAGCAAACCTGAAAGCTGAGTGTTTGCCCAAACAACTGAATAAGAATTGTTTATCTTAGACCAAATCATCAGTACCACTGGCATTTTTACCAGAGTTTGAAAATGTATTCTTGCACCTCATTCTTTTGCCTTGCACTGGCAGCAAATCACTATGTATAGAAACTGCCAAGACAGGCCTTATGGAACTTACACAGCATCTTTCTCTCTGTGACTTGTATGAACACAAATTGAAGATGGATAACTGAAATACACTTGGCCACAGATTCCATTCTGTCATCTGGAACTAAACTAAAGCAAAATTATTCAAGGCACATTTCAATGAAATTCTTTATGAATTGACCATTAATTTGTGCTTTTTATTATAACTAGACAAATTGCTTTATTATATAATATACCATCTTTTTAAAAAATCAACTTTTATTTTAGATTCAGGGGGTACATGTGCAGGTTTGCGACATGGGAACACTGGATCATAACACTGAGATTTAGAGTGCAGATGATCCCATCACCCAGGCAGTGAGCACAGCACACATTAAGCAGTCCCTCACCCCCTTCCCTCCCTCTCTCCTCTAGCAGTCTCCAGTGTCCATTGCTCTCATCTTTATGTCCATGGGTACTCAATGTTCAGCTCCCACTTATAAGTGAGAACATGCAGTATATGGTTTCCTGTTCCTGCATTACTTTGCTTGGGATAATGGTCTGGCTGCAACCATGTGCTGCAAAGAACATAATTTCATTTTTTATGGCTGCATAATGTTCCATGGTGTATATAATACATCTTTTTATTTTTATTTTTTTTTAATTTATTATTATTATACTTTAAGTTTTAGGGTACATGTGCACAATGTGCAGGTTAGTTACATATGTATACATGTGCCATGCTGGTGTGCTGCACCCGTTGACTCGTCATTTAGCATTAGGTATATCTCCTAAAACTATACCTCCCCCCTCCCCCCACCCCACAACAGTCCCCAGAGTGTGATGTTCCCCTTCCTGTGTTCATGAGTTCTCATTGTTCAATTCCCACCTATGAGTGAGAATATGCGGTGTTTGGTTTTTTGTTCTTGTGATAGTTTACTGAGAATGATGATTTCCAATTTCATCCATGTCCCTACAAAGGACATGAACTCATCATTTTTTATGGCTGCATAGTATTCCGTGGTGTATATGTGCCACATTTTCTTAATCCAGTCTATCATTGTTGGACATTTGGGTGGTTCCAAGTCTTTGCTATTGTGAATTGTGCCGCAATAAACCTATGTGTGCATGTGTCTTTATAGCAGCATGATTTATAGTCCTTTGGGTATATACCCAGTAATGGGATGGCTGGGTCAAATGGTATTTCTAGTTCTAGATCCCTGAGGAATCACTGACTTCCACAATGGTTGAACTAGTTTACAGTCCCACCAACAGTATAAAAGTGTTCCTATTTCTCCACATCCTCTCCAGCACCTGTTGTTTCCTGACTTTTTAATGATTGCCATTCTAACTGGTGTGAGATGGTATCTCATTGTGGTTATGATTTGCATTTCTCTGATGGCCAGTGATGGTGAGCATTTTTTCATGTGTCTTTTGGCTGCATAAATGTCTTCTTTCGAGAAGTGTCTGTTCATATCCTTTGCCCACTTTTTGATGGGGTTGTTTGTTTTTTTCTTGTAAATTTCTTTGAGTTCATTGTAGATTCTGGATATTAGCCCTTTGTCAGATGAGTAGGTTGCGAAAATTTTCTCCCATTTTGTAGGTTGCCTGTTCACTCTGATGGTAGTTTCTTTTGCTGTGCAGAAGCTCTTTAGTTTAATTAGATCCCATTTGTCAATTTTGTCTTTTGTTGCCATTGCTTTTGGTGTTTTAGACATGAAGTCCTTGCCCATGCCTATGTCCTGAATGGTAATGCCTAGGTTTTCTTCTAGGGTTTTTATGGTTTTAGGTCTAATGTTTAAGTCTTTATTCCATCTTGAATTAATTTTTGTATAAGGTGTAAGGAAGGGATCCAGTTTCAGCTTTCTACATATGGCTAGCCAGTTTTCCCAGCACCATTTATTAAATAGGGAATCTTTCCCCATTGCTTGTTTTTGTCAGGTTTGTCAAAGATCAGATAGTTGTAGATATGCGGCGTTATTTCTGAGGTCTCTGTTCTGTTCCATTGATCTATATCTCTGTTTTGGTACCAGTACCATGCTGTTTTGTTTACTGTAGCCTTGTAGTATAGTTTGAAGTGAGGTAGCATGATGCCTCCAGCTTTGTTCTTTTGGCTTAGGATTGACTTGGTGATGCGGGCTCTTTTTTGGTTCCATATGAACTTTAAAGTAGTTTTTTCCAATTCTGTGAAGAAAGTCATTGGTAGCTTGATGGGGATGGCATTGAATCTATAAATTACCTTGGGCAGTTGGCCATTTTCATGATATTGATTCTTCCTACCCATGAGCATGGAATGTTCTTCCATTTGTTTGTATCCTCTTTTATTTCATTGAGCAGTGGTTTGTAGTTCTCCTTGAAGAAGTCCTTCACGTCCCTTGTAAGTTGGATTCCTAAGTATTTTATATTCTTTGAAGCAATTGTGAATGGGAGTTCACTCATGATTTGGCTCTCTGTTTGTCTGTTATTGGTGTATAAGAATGCTTGTGATTTTTGTACATTGATTTTGTATCCTGAGACTTTGCTGAAGTTGCTTATCAGCTTAAGGAGATTTTGGGCTGAGACAATGGGGTTTTCTAGATATACAATCACGTCGTCTGCAAACAGGGACAATTTGACTTCCTCTTTTCCTAATTGAATACCCTTTATTTCCTTCTCCTGCCTAATTGCCCTGGCCAGAACTTCCAACACTATGTTGAATAGGAGTGGTGAGAGAGGGCATCCCTGTCTTGTGCCAGTTTTCAAAGGGAATGCTTCCAGTTTTTGCCCATTCAGTATGATATTGGCTGTGGGTTTGTCATAGATACCTCTTATTATTTTGAGATATGTCCCATCAATACCTAATTCATTGAGAGTTTTTAGCATGAAGGGTTGTTGAATTTTGTCAAAGGCTTTTTCTGCATCTGTTGAGATAATCATGTGGTTTTTGTCTTTGGCTCTGTTTATATGCTGGATTACATTTATTGATTTGCATATATTGAACCAGCCTTGCATCCCAGGGATGAAGCCCACTTGATCATGGTGGATAAGCTTTTTGATGTGCTGCTGGATTCGGTTTGCCCGTATTTTATTGAGGATTTTTGCATCAATGTTCATCAAGGATATTGGTCTAAAATTCTCTTTTTTTGTTGTATCTCTGCCCGGCTTTGGTATCAGGATGATGCTGGCCTCATAAAATGAGTTAGGGAGGATTCCCTCTTTTTCTATTGATTGGAATAGTTTCAGAAGGAATGGTACCAGTTCCTCCTTGTACCTCTGTTAGAATTCAGCTATGAATCCATCTGGTCCTGGACTCTTTTTGGTTGGTAAGTTATTGATTATTGCCACAATTTCAGATCCTATTTTTGGTCTATTCAGAGATTCAACTTCTTCCTGGTTTAGTCTTGGGAAAGTGCATGTGTCAAGGAATTTATCCATTTCTTCTAGATTTTCTAGTTTATTTGCGTAGAGGTGTTTGTAGTATTCTCTGATGGTAGTTTGTATTTCTGTGGGATCGATGGTGATATCCCCTTTATCATTTTTTATTGCGTCTATTTGATTCTTCTCTTGCTTTATTAGTCTTGCTAGCAGTCTATCAATTTTGTTGATCCTTTCAAAAAACCAGCTCCTGGATTCATTAATTTTTTGAAGGGTTTTTTGTGTCTCTATTTCCTTCAGTTCTGCTCTGATTTTAGTTATTTCTTGCCTTCTGCTAGCTTTTGAATGTGTTTGCTGTTGCTTTTCTAGTTCTTTTAATTGTGATGTTAGGGTGTCAGTTTTGGATCTTTCCTGCTTTCTCTTGTGGGCATTTAGTGCTATAAATTTCCCTCTACACACTGCTTTGAATGTGTCCCAGAGATTCTGGTATGTTGTGTCTTTGTTCTCATTGGTTTCAAAGAACATCTTTATTTCTGCCTTCATTTCGTTATGTACCCAGTAGTCATTCAGGAGCAGGTTGTTCATTTTCCATGTAGTTGAGTGGTTTTGAGTGAGTTTCTTAATCCTGAGTTCTACTTTGATTGCACTGTGGTCTGAGAGACAATTGTTACAATTTCTGTTCTTTTACATTTGCTGAGGAGAGCTTTACTTCCAAGTATGTGGTCAATTTTGGAACAGGTGTGGTGTGGTGCTGAAAAAAATGTATATTCTGTTGATTTGGGATGGAGAATTCTGTAGATGTCTATTAGGTCTGCTTGGTGCAGAGCTGAATTCAATTCCTGGGTATCCTTGTTAACTTTCTATCTCGTTGATCTGTCTAATGTTGACAGTGGGGTGTTAACGTCTCCCATTATTATTGTGTAGGAGTCTAAGTCTCTTTGTAGGTCACTCAGGACTGGCTTTATGAATCTGGGTGCTCCTGTATTGGGTGCATATATATTTAGGATAGTTAGCTCTTCTTGTTGAATTGATCCCTTTA
Source organism: Homo sapiens (assembly GCF_000001405.40). NCBI lineage: Eukaryota > Metazoa > Chordata > Mammalia > Primates > Hominidae > Homo > Homo sapiens. The sequence continues at coordinate 70,767,434 of NC_000012.12, read as the reverse complement.
CCATTATGTAATGGCCGCCTTTGTCTCTTTTGATCTTTGTTGGTTTAAAGTCTGTTTTATCAGAGACTAGGATTGCAACCCCTGTAATTTTTTGTTTTCCATTTTCTTGGTAGATCTTCCTCCATCCCTTTATTTTGAGCCTATGTGTGTCTCTGCACATGAGATGGGTTTCCTGAATACAGCACACTGATGGGTCTTGACTCTTTATCCAATTTGCCAGTCTGTGTCTTTTAACTGGAGCATTTAGTCCATTTACATTTAAAGTTAATATTGTTATGTGTGAATTTGATCCTGTCATTATGATGTTAGCTGATTATTTTGCTCATTAGTTGATGTAGTTTCTTCCTAGTCTCGATGGTCTTTACATTTTGGCGTGATTTTGCAGTGGCTGGTACCGGTTGTTCCTTTCCATGTTTAGCGCTTCCTTCAGAAGTTCTTTTAGGGCAGGCCTGGTGGTGACAAAATCTCTCAGCATTTGCTTGTCTGTAAAGTATTTTATTTCTCCTTCACTTATGAAGCTTAGCTTGGCTGGATATAAAATTCCGGGTTGAAAATTCTTTTCTTTAAGAATGTTGAATATTGGCCCCCACTCTCTTCTGGCTTGTAGAGTTTCTGTTGAGAGATCCGCTGTTAGTCTGATGGGCTTCCCGTTGTGGGTAACCCGACCTTTCTCTCTGGCTGCCCTTAACATTTTTTCCTTCTTTTCAACTTTGGTGAATCTGACAATTATGTGTCTTGGAGTTGCTCTTCTCGAGGAGTATCTTTGTGGCATTCTCTGTATTTCCTGAATCTGAATGCTGGCCTGCCTTGCTAGATTGGGGAAGTTCTCCTGGATAATATCCTGCAGAGTGTTTTCCAACTTGGTTCCATTCTCCCCGTCACGTTCAAGTACACCAATCAGACGTAGATTTGGTCTTTTCACATAGTCCCATATTTCTTGGAGGCTTTGTTCACTTCTTTTTATTCTTTTTTCTCTAAACTTCCCTTCTCGCTTAATTTCATTCATTTCATCTTCCATCACTGATACCCTTTCTTCCAGTTGATTGCATCAGCTCCTGAGGCTTCTGCATTCTTCACGTAGTTCTCAAGCCTTGGCTTTCAGCTCCATCAGCTCCTTTAAGCACTTCTCTGTATTGGTTATTCTAGTTATACATTTGTCTAAATTTTTTTCAAAGTTTTCAACTTCTTTGCCTTTGGTTTGAATTTCCTCCTGTAGCTCGGAGTAGTTTCATTGTCTGAAGCCTTCTTCTCTCAACTCGTCAAAGTCATTCTCTGTCCAGCTTTGTTCCGTTGCTGGTGAGGAGCTGTGTTCCTTTGGAGGAGGAGAGGCGCTCTGCTTTTTAGAGTTTCCAGTTTTTCTGCTCTGTTTTTTCCCCATCTTTGTGGTTTTATCTACTTTTGGTCTTTGATGATGGTGATGTGCACATGGGTTTTTGGTGTGGATGTCCTTTCTGTTTGTTAGTTTTCCTTCTAACAGACAGGACCCTCAGCTGCAGGTCTGTTGGAGTTTTCTAGAGGTCTACTCCAGACCCTGTTTTCTTGGGTAATAGCAGCGGTGGCTGCAGAACACCAGATGTTTGTGAACTGCGAATGCTGCTGTCTGATCGTTCCTCTTGAAGTTTTGTCTCAGAGGAGTACCCGGCTGTGTGAGGTGTCAGTCTGCCCCTTCTGGGGGGGTGCCTCCCAGTTAGCCTGCTCAGGGGTCAGGGGTCAGGGACCCACTTGAGGAGGCAGTCTACCCGTTCTCAGATCTCCAGCTGCATGCTGGGAGAACCACTGCTCTCTTCAAAGCTCTCAGACAGGGACATTTAAGTCTGCAGAGGTTACTGCTGTCTTTTTGTTTGTCTGTGCCCTGCCCCCAGAGGTGGAGCCTACAGAGGCAGGCAGGCCTCCTTGAGCTGTGGTGGGCTCCACCCAGTTGGAGCTTCCCGGCTGCTTTGTTTACCTAAGTGAGCCTGGGCAATGGCGGGCACCCCTCCCCCAGCCTCACTGCTGCCTTGCAGTTTGATCTCAGACTGCTGTGCTAGCAATCAGCAAGACTCCATGGGCATAGGACCCTCCAAGCCAGGTGAGGGATATAATCTCCTGGTGTGCCATTTTTTAAGCCCGTCGGAAAAGCGCAGTATTGGGGTGGGAGTGACCCGATTTTCCAGGTGCCGTCTGTCACCCCTTTCTTTGAATAGGAAAGGGAACTCCCTGAGCCCTTGCACTTCCCGAGTGAGGCAATGCCTCACCCTGCTTCGGCTCGTGCACGGTGCACTGCACCCACTGTCCTGCGCCCACTGTCTGGCACTCCCTAGTGAGATGAACCTGGTACCTCAGATGGAAATGCAGAAATCACCCATCTTCTGCATCACTCACACTGGGAGCTGTAGACTGGAGCTGTTCCTATTTGGCCATCTTGGCTCCACCCCTATAATACATCTTTTTAACTAATACCATTTAAAATTTCACATGCAATGTTCCTATAATTTTATTTCTATCAAAAATGCAATAAAGCATTATTAGTGTAAACTTAGCAGAGTCACAGAAACTGTGGTCAGTCATGAGTCAAGAACTGAATGTCGTGAACTTATTAATACTTATTTGGATGTATTCTATACATCTATACAAATTAATACTATAATTTGGATTTATTTTTGTCCTTATTTTCTAGACACTGCAAATGGATGTAAACAAGCTGAACATAACCTTGCTTCGGATCTTCCGCCAAGGAGTGGCTGCAGCTTTAGGACTCTTACCCCAGCAAGTGCACATCAATCGCCTCATTGTAAGATACCCACATTTCGCATTTCCAAAATTCAAGCCGTGTGTGTGGTTTTTTTAATCACTAAAGGGCTCATGCTATAGTTGTATGGCTAATGAGCCAAATCCGGCACGTCATGTTTTTGCAAATAAAATTTTATGAAACAAGCTATATCTGCTCATCTACCCATTGCCCATGATGCCTTTTGTATTACAGTGGCAGAGTTCAGTAGTTGCAAAAGATTGGCTCATGAAGCCTAAACTGTTTATCATCTGGCCCTTTATAGAGGAAGTTTGTTAACTCTGTCATAGTTCAAGTCTAGGTCCTGTGGTAAATATGAAAGAGCCCAAAACACTTGCCTTACCAACCTGACACTACTCCGAAAATATTCTCCATTAGAGTGAAAGCTTCTATATCAGGTAAGGCAGTTTCCAGACATTATTGATATACTTTCAAGTATATCAGGTGAGGCAGTTTCCAGACATTATTGATATACTTTCAAGTATATCAGTAGAACAATGGACATTGAGTGCACAAGGCAGGGCATTTTAAATAAAGAATAAAGAACTGACCCTGAGGACTGCAGCCCAGGTGGAATGCAGGAATTGGTAGTCCAGGAAAACCAAGAGAAAACTTGAATGGGCATCTGAGTGGGTAAAGTAAAAAAAAAAAAAAAAAAAGTAAACCCAAAGGATCTGTTGTATAGGGCCCAGTCTAGGCCTATATGTCAATCACCCACATCCATTATTTCCTCTCTTTCCTCGGTGTTTGGGAACCTGGATTTCATGCAACTACATGTTCCCATCTGCACTGGAAAGTGGGCGTGAGCAAAGGCCAAAAAAAAAGTAAATTCAGATCAGATGACTGTCTTTCTGTAAAAAGCTAGTCACCTCAGTTTTATGTGAAAAGGAACTTTGGGATCACTGTACAGGTTTTAAATTGCTCTTAATGTCCACTGCAATGGGAGTCTAAGCAAGGACTCCATGTTCCCCCAGCCTTAAATTGCTGTGCTTCTGCTGCATGGAGCTCAGCTTTCTATTGCACCCATCTGCATTCACTATGGAGGGAATTTGCTTTTTGTTTTGGTTTGGGGTTTATGTTTCTTTTTATTTTTTCTGTGTGTAGAGAGTGAGTTGTTTCATTTCTTCATAAAAATTTGTATTCTGTGAATCAACAATGTTCTAGAAGTAAACAAGCTGTTAAAAAGTTTTAACTCATACCACAGAAGAAGAAATACAACATTCCCCTGAATGAGTGAAGGTTACCCGGTGGCTCACGCCTGTAATCCCAGAACTTTGGGAGGCCAGGAGGGTGGATAACTGGAGGTCAGGAGTTTGAGACCAGCCTGGCCAACATGGTAAAACCCCATCTCTACTACTTAAAATACAAAAAATTGGCCGGGCATGGTGGCAGGCATCTGTAATCCCAGCTACTCAGGAGGCTGAGGCAGGAGAATCACTTGAACCCAGGAGGTGGAAGTTGCAGTGAGCAGAGATCACTCCATGGCACTCCAGCCTGGACAACAAGAGCGAAACTCCATCTCAAAAAAAAAGAAAAAAAGTCTTGGATCTAGATCTAGATTTTTTATATATATACAATATATACATATAAAAATATATATGCATCAACCTGTGCATATATATTTTGCTAAGATATATAGAGAGATGATATAGATATCTTAGATATACTTTTATACATATTAGGTTTAATGAGCATAATAGCTGTTTGCAAGGGTGAAGGAGGGATTTGCCAGACTGAGGAAGGAATATGCTTATCATATCCTCAGAGAATGTTAGTAGCATGGTTCAAAGTAGTTATTATAATAGCTAGAGTTACAATACCTGACATAGCAAAGCATGTTGATTAGCATCATGTGTTTTGGAGACAGACAAAACCATACTTCATTTCCAGTGTGGCCATATTCCATGTATGTGAATGTGGGCAAGCCTCTTACGTTTTATTTGTAAAATAGAGATAACCATAATACCTATCGCTTAGCGGTGTTTTGAGCAATAAATGAGATAAAAGATTTAAGGTAAATAGCATGTTAGGCACAACACAAGTGCTCTGTACCTACAGTAGTTGTTATTGGGTCACAAACTATTTAAATTGTTATAAACATGTTTCACATCAGTATTTAGTTATTGTCTGTTGTTCTCTGCAAACATGAAAAAACTTTTACTGGCTTGCTAGTAGTAAACTGATACTTCATTTTATACCAGCTAAAATTCTGATAAAGCACATTAAAAGAAAACTTTCTAGCATGAGAGCTCTCCATGTGTCAGAAAGAAAGCTAAGAATAATTTCCTTCTATTAGTGTGTTGTGTAAGTTGTGAAAGATAATATTATCAATCGCCATGGTTTTGTCTGCTCTCTGTGTGTGTGTGTGTGTGTATGTGTGTGTAGGATATCAGACATTTATGGTAAGAAATTCTCTGACTCCATTTCAGCTAATGAGGTAATACTAATAGGAAAAGTCTCATGACATCACTACATAAGATATGCATTTCCACCAAATGACCAATTTTAAATGTGTGACATATTTGACGTGAAGAACAGTATCAGGAAAAGGACTTCAAAGATCATCTGGCACCATCTTCTTTAGCTAGCCAAGCCTTCACATTAACACAAGTTATAAAAATAATAGAGAGAGTGGTGATGTCTAATATGTAATTTTGTAATTTTACTATTACTTTGGACTTTAATTCATTTGATTTTAAAATGCTTCTTTAAACATAATTACTCAGGGAACATCTGAACAATCTACATCAAAAAATTACAATATGGAATGGTAAATGAATCAGCATGCAAGCATGCACTGAAATATAAAATTACAAATCTTGGGGGGTGGCAACTAATGGCAAGAAAGCTATTTGAAGATTTTAGACTTTGGACTGGTAACATTAAGTCTATCAGAGAATAACTAATAAATATAATCTCCACAAAGCCTTTTAGGATTCTAGAATTCTGACTTCCTTTAATGTTTCTAAAGGACAGGTAAAAATATTATCCAAAGTTGTTTAAAATGTCTATAACAAATACAAATATTCTGCTTTTATTAGGGAAAGAAGAACAGTATTGAACTGTTTGTGTCTCCCATAAACCGAAAAACAGGAATTTCTGATGCTCTGCCCTCTGAGGAAGTTCTTCGTTCACTTAATATCAATGTTTTGCATCAAAGTTTATCCCAGTTTGGAATTACAGAAGTCTCTCCTGAGGTATGTTGTTGCACGAAACAATTCATTTAAAAATGTGAACAGTTAGCATGCTATGGTAATTCAACCCCAAGAGGCTTTGAGATGGAAGTTGTTTATTGTATGTTATTTGATAATAAAAATTTCCCTGAGTGTCAGAATTCTCTGATCTTTACATTGTATATGTTTACTTCTTAAGGAAATGCACTTTCACATTAAGGTTTTCACTTTTTGGCATTTTTCTTCTTCAAACCTTTGTGGCCTTATAACTTATTTTGACTTATCCAGTAAATTTTCTAGAAGAAAGAAGATTTAGATGTATTTTGTCAATTGATCGCTTGAAACTGATATGTCAAATAAACAAAAATACATTTAAACCTTTCTTTCTCTACAGGTGCACCCCTCCCCTCATTGTCGTCATTGTCAAAATGGTCACCAGATATTCGCCTTTTCCCATAACTTTGAAATTAATTTGAAATGTGATTTTTCTTTTTCTGAAGAAACTATAGTTTTTTAAAGAACTTAAGTCTTAAGAACTATAGATGTTTCTTCATAGTATTTTCCAAATTTGTCGCTTTTAAAAAATTTCCTCTACCACCTCCACCATCTCACTCCTGAATGGATTTAATTTCCTTTCCAATTCTATTACTCCATCCCGCTCTAACAAACCTACTGAAAGGATCATCATCCTAAATACGTGTAATTCAATTCATGGAATCATGAAATTAAACTGGAGGGAATATGTGTAACACCTTGTAGATACAGAAAGTATGGCCCATAGAAATTAAGTGACTCCCTCAAGGTGACAGAACAAGAGAGGCGTAAAGCACCACCTAAGATCTAGGTGTCTTTTTTTTCTCTCTTATAGAGGCAGGGTTTTACTATGTTGCCCAGGCTGGTCTTGAATGCCTGGCCTCAAGCAATTCTCCCACCTTGGCCTCCAAAAGTGCTGGGATTACAGATGTGAGTGAGCCATCTTCCCTGTCCAAAATCTAGATGTCCTGATCCCTGGTCTATTCACCTTTACAGTAAATCACACTGCCTCTCATTTTAGTATCACAGGTGTGGTATAAAAAGCTCTGGGTGGGCATGGTGGCTTATGTTTGTAATCCTAACTACTGGGGAGGCTGAGGCAGCAGGATCACTTGCACCCAGATGGAGTTTGTATCCCAAAGCCACACGTAAAATGTGTGTGACCATGGGCAGGCCATTTAATCTCTGTGAGGTTGTCTGCCTTTGCATGGTATCAACCTCCCTGAGCCTTAGTTTCTTCAAATCCAAAATGGGTATAGCACTTATAAACTTGAAATATGGATTGAATTTTTAAAGTATATGCAGAAATTCTCACACAGCCTAGGTAGCAGACAAATGTAATTTGAATGCAGGATGACTTGGCACAATGAGAATATATGTCATCATTGAACCATCACTGTCACAACCACCCCCAACTGGTCTTCCTGCATTTGGTTTTGCGCCTCTCTCTGTTCTGTTTCCAAACATACCCAATGTGTTTTCTTTCCTGCCACCAAAGTAATCTTTCTCAACATAAATTTGGCCATGCCCTCCTAATTTCGTGATTCTTCTCTGGCTTTCAAAATACTACGGAATGAAGTCTAGATTTCTTAATATGGTATATGGTCCTTTGTATGCTGGGCTTTATAATTGTTGAACAACACTTTCCTAGTTTACATTTCAGCAATTCTAAACTCGATAGATCTATGATACACCATATTCTCTCCTTCCTTCATGCTTTTGTATGTGTTGTTTCATCTACATACCTTTCGTTTGTTTTTTTTTTTTTTTTTTTTTTTTTTTAAGACGGAGTCTTGCTCTGTCTCCCAGGCTGGAGTGCAGTGGTGCATCTCGGCTCACTGCAAGCTCTGCCTCCCGAGTTCATGCCATTCTCCTGCCTCAACCTTCTGAGTAGCTGGGACTACAGGCGCCTGCCACCACGCCCAGCTAATTTTTTGTATTTTTAGTAGAGATGGGATTTCACCATGCATACCTTTCATTTCTTAAGATCAGTCTACTGTGTAGCAAAGTATCCCTTGTACCTCCACAGACGAAGATGCTCCTTACCCTGTGTTCCCGTCAAGCTTAAAACAAAAACTCCTTATTCCATATTAGTCTTTAGGCTCATCTCTACACTGTGGGTTTTTTGAGAGCTTGTGACATGTCATTTGATCTGTGTCTTCATTGCCTTCATTTAGTGCCTGGCATGCAATGGGCACACAACAAAACTGAGTCAACAAATAGTCATGCTGGGCGCGTTGGCTCAAGCCTGTAATCCCAGCACTTTGGGAGGTCAAGAGAAGAGGATTGGTTGAGGCCAGGAGTTTGAGACCAACCTGAGCAACATAGCAAGACTCTGACTTTACAAAAAAAGTTAAAAATTAGCTGGGCATGGTGGTGTGTAACTGTGGTCCCAGCTACTTGGGAGGCTGAGGCAGGAGGATCACCTGAGCCCAGGAATTTACGGTTGTAATGAGCTATGATGAGGCCACTGCACTCCAGCCTGGGTGGAGTCCCAAAACAAACAGACAACAACAACAACAACAACAAGAGCAAATAGCCAAGTACTGTGCTAGCTAATATCTAAAGCCAGAAAAATAAATAAACAAGAAAACAAACAATAAATGATGTTTGTTCTCAATGAATTTATGCACTAATAGGGCAAATACGACACAAAGAGATAATAAGAATATAGTTCTATGAATAAAGTTACTACACTGTGCCATGGGTGCCTTGGAGAAGAGACCCCTTATGCTTTAGAGAGGCCAGAGGAGAGGGTCAGGAGGAGGTGAACCACCAGGCCCCTCCCAGCCTTGCCCACGTCTGAATCTGAAGCAGTTCCGCTTGTGCACAAAGCCAAACCCCATTCCCACAGTCAAGGCCCTACACGGACTGACTGGTACACATCTTGCCTAGGACAATTCTTTAAATTTTAGAAAGACCGTTGGATAAATGTATCCTGCTTCCCATAAGCTTTTAGAGAATCATGTAAACGGCCTTCCCTGTTGCTTTATTCTCAGTTTAAAAGCCATTCTGAAGGCTTTAAGAATAGAGCAACTTACTGAGTCACTCAGATTTGCAAACCAAAAGAAGCTCCCTATACAAAAAGAGCTGGCTTTAAAGCAAGTACCTGGGCATCCTCCAATATACCCCAGTCCAGTGAAGGTGAGGTACTTAGCTTAATGGCCTCTCACAGAGCTACTAGCTCACAATAGACTACATTTGAATAAGGAAAGTGTTTTGATGATAAATGTGATAGATTCTCATAAAATTGTTGGAATCTAGAAATCTAGAATTTAGAAAATATGCATTACAGAAGATGAGGAAGTATTTGAATCAGATATAAGGAGCATATCATGAAGGACAGAGGGATTATTTGAACCTTTTGTTTGAGTACTCCTAGAAGGGGCCAGGCATTACCCTTTGACCTTTGACCAGAATCTCTAAATGCAGAAACAGGGAAAAGCTGTCTGTAGTGAGCAGGCACCCCAGTGGGGAGGTGCTTGGTACAGATACAACCTAAAGAAGCCCTGCAAAAATATTGATTGATAGTTGCTTAAAACTGGTAAATGCTATTCTGTGAGTTTTCTTACAACTTTATTCATTTTTTCTGTGGTTAATCTTTTATAACAACTTATACCTCAACCCATTTTTTCACATTTTAATCTTAAAATTATAACATGTTATGGCAACATATTCATTAACAGAAAAAAAGGATCACTGGTATTTTGGCTTTTCATCCTTTGCATGAATTATAGAACATCGTGAATGATGTCTCAAAGCATCTATTCCTAAACTTACGTTAATTACTTTCATGGAAGGATATGGTTTTTTATTGTTTTTTCATATGCTTGATTTTTTAAATTGAAAATGACTCTTCAGAAACAAAAAAACCCAACTAGAAAACTGTTCTTGTTTAGTCATTTGTTTTCATTTGTAATCTGTTTCTTAAAGGAAAAGACATTATTTCCTTTATATATTTGTATATGATATCTAGAACATTATAGGCACTCATATAGATAAAACTAGACCTCCTCTTGCCTAATAAGTAAAATCCCAGGAAAATAAAATTAAATGTTTTTACAAAATGAATTAAATACCTATTAAAACGGTAAGTTCTGTGTTGACATTTTTAAAAATGATTCAGGAATTTTGTTGTTGTTCAATTGCAAATTACTCCAGTTTCCAAATCTTATATTTCAAAGGAGAAAGTGACCTTCTTTAAATAAAAGTCCAATGTGCTAACTGATACCTTCATGAAATATTTACAAAGAAAAAAAGCCATTACATACAAATGTAAACAATAATGTGTGAGTTTAATGATTATTCCTTCAAACTAGGAACACTAGCAGGTAGTCTTGTCTAAATTAGTGTAGACCTAGCCATACAGTGCTGAGGAGACATACAATCAATATTAACCTGTATTCGACCATTCAGAACAATTGCTCACATTGTGCACAGTACAGTGGAAGCTTGGCATTTATCCAACAAAGCCATATTGTTATAGGATACATCTCATTTATCTGCCAAGTCAATCAAATTAACCAGATACTTTGTAACATTTGCACTTCATTCTTATTCTGTGTACTTCCTCTCTCTTAAAGAGGTGTATCTCCTAGATCCTCTGTATCTCTGAATCGTCTCTCCTAGCATTTGGGATCTCCTTCTGCATCTGAGATCAGAATTGATTAAAATATTTAAAAAGAAAGGACAAAAGAAAGAAGAATGAGCTATAGTGCATCAAATTATTAAACAGGATATAGAGAAGCCATTGTTAACTATACAGAAAACTGACCAAATTTTAAATAATAGAACAAAACCCATCAGCTTCTTTCACTGCAACTAAGTTAAAGGGCAAAGAAATGTAGCTATGAAATAATAAAACATAAAGATGATATAGTGGCATTGGCTTGACCCAACAACAGAGCCTCTGAATTATTCAACTCTCGGCCACCTGACAAAATATAAAAAGCATGGGGTTAACCCTATGCAAAGGTTAGATTGAAGATTCTTGTGAATTATAGTCTTTTGATTTGTGAGCTCTTAACTACAAACTTGTCCATTTATTACCCTGCCCTTATCAAGTTTTTTAGATCTCTGTACAAATATAGTAGTGTTCAGCAGGAGTAGCATGACTCAGAAAGAAATCTATTTACCAAGAAAGTGCAGTGACTAAGTTCTAGGAGTTTAAAACGTGTCTTTCTAACTGGGAGTGGGGGATGGGAGGGTGGGAGTTAATTCTTTCATCATTACTGCTTCAGTTAAAAAAGAAAACAAAACAGGTTTGTCTTAAGCAGAAAGGAACATGTTGATATTCTAGGAGTTGTAGAACTACAGCAAGAAAAAAAAATGAACCAAATCGGGTTAGGAACACAAAATCTCTTTCCACCCACCTAACCACCCCTTTTTATCCAAATTTTACATGGGCTTAAGCTCAACTCCTTATACTTAAATTTGACAAATTTATGCTGCCTACTTGAAGGCTTAACTAGTTTGCTTTTATAGCAAACAATGGATGCTATTTTGTTGCCTGTAAAAAATTCATTTCCATATTTATACCTGATTTCTGCAAGAGTTTTCTATTAGTTTCCAGCTATGCTTATAGAGACATTGGAATTTAAAAAAACGATATGGCTGACGTCAAAGAGGTGAAAGAAAATTTGTCGCTTGAACCCAAAGTTGTTTTGCAGCAGGGTACTTGGTTTCTAATCATTTATCAATCAAGTGTTTTCAGATTCTCCATCGATTTATCATTTATATATCTTTAAAATACATATCTAAATCATTTCTTGTATCTATGCATCTATCTATGTCTTAGAAAGTAGGCCAGATACTATTCTACTATAATTAGTGAGCACATCGCTGTTTTACAAGTAAAGAAAATAGAATCCTGATTACGTTAGCATTTAATAAAGGCTTTCTCCAAATAATTTTTGTAATCACAATTGAACTCAAAAATCTTTTCTGTTCAGCCTTGCTTATCTTCCCACCAAAACACACTTGCATTCCAGAATGAAAGTTCTCATAAAATATTTTTCAAGGTAAATTTTTTGTCTGATTTATAAATGTTGGGTATATTTTATTTTTTAAAAGCCTTAAAAATAAATTAGCAATGATTTCAAAGTTCAGACACCTACAAGACGTGTTTTACTCCAGGCCTTCTTAATCACTGGAAACAATAACCAAGGACAGACATGTACTCTCACTAAAGGGAATAAAAAGGCACCCTTCAACAAAATGAAATTTTAGATGAGTTAAAGCATTTGACTTGATTTAGCCTTTATATGTTTTTCCCAATCATGGACTATTTGGTTTCAAGTTAGTTTCGTTAACTATAAATCTATACTGTCACTAAATTATACAACTGAATTTTAATCTAAGAATGGATTTTAGTCAATGTGCTTCTTTAAAAAAATTAATAAAATAAAATTAATAGAGTCATGCACACTTTATTCATGCTTCTTCTCTGCTCTTCCACCCCCAAAGTGGAACAAAAATGATACAAATAAAGATAAACCTGTGTATTCTACCTTTTATTGACAAATAATTCTGAACTTTTTAATGTTCCGTATTACTTTAGAAAAATATGTGATATTCTAACAATATGTATTCTTGAGATGATATTTTAGTCAGGTTTTGACAGCAGAGACTCTATTTGAAAAAAAAAAAAGATGTGATTAAAAGAAAGAAGGAAATAATGCTGGCATTGTTGCTGTATTTATTAATGCACCACAAGCTTTTGTTTGCACTTGTTTCACTTTTGTTTAAAAGTAAAGAGGTAGTACAGCACGTAATCCAGGGTGCTGATGTTGTGGGAGGGGACTTAAAACAGAGTAAGGAAATCAGAAACAATTTCCTCCACACAGAAAAGAACAGAACTCTCTTACCTATGAACCAGGTAGTTTCCAAGAGAGACGCTGAGGGATGTTTAGAAAGCCTGGGACCTGCAGATGCCATGTCAGGCACGCTTGCTCCTGCATAGGAGACTAAATAATCTCGATATATAAGGATGGCAGTCTGTTGTCTTAGATCAGTTTGAGAAGCAGCTCTGGCAGCGGGGGGTGTAGGTGTGTTGCACTACACTGAATGGAATAAGGCTAAAAATATGTTTAGTGTCTGATAAGAACGCCAGTTTTCTCAAGCTCTCATTTAACGTCGGACTTTCTGTTTTGCTTTTAAAGAAAAATGTTTTACAAGGGCAGCATGAAGCGGACAAAATCTGGAGCAAAGAAGGATTTTATGCTGTTGTCATTTTTCTCAGCATCTTTGTTATTATAGTAACGTGTTTGATGGTAAGTTTGCTTCTTTGTATATTTTATCCTTTGCTCAGCCCACTGCTTGATATTAGTGGGTACATTGCCATTCAAATGAATGTTAAAATGCTTCCGAGCAGAAGGAAGACTATGATCCTGCTAGATTAGGAATATTTCATATCTGACATCAGAGCGATTGCTAAAGGAGAGCTTATGGAATTAAGGATGCTGACCTGAATAATAAGGCTGTAATTGCAATGCAGTTTTTAGTAACTTGATCAACTCTGAGAATGAAGCTTTAGACAGTGATTTACTGAGGTCACTGAAGCCCTCAAAGTCAGTAAAGTCTCACGGGCACACTTTGGGTTTACTTTATTTCTCCTTTTATATCATCTTTATGGAACTCAGGAAAAAATTTAAAAAGAGATATGTCTTTGAGACAAGATTACTCCCTAAGGAATGGTTGATTTCCTTATTTTTAAAAGGACTTGAAAGCATTCTATGAAAAGGAGATGATTATACCCTCAAAGGCTAAGTTAGGTAGACTACTAATTCATTTTTAAGGTGGATAAATAGTACAAAAGTATAAATGTATATGCTGGAATAGCTCTGTAAGTAATAATGTGTAGCCTTTAAAAGCATGTTTCTAATTTTAAAAATAGAACCCAAAACAAACTTAACCCACTAAATTAAGCAGTACTATTTGGCATTGAATGAACTAACGGTATCTTTAGGGTAGAATAAGATGTTTCTACTCATTTGAAAATTTCAAGATGTAATATAATAATTAGAGTTTACAAATAGGTTTTAATGTCCTTTTTCCCTGTGAGCTATGTTCTTTTTAATTTTGTACATTTAAATAAATACTTCTTCCTTAGTTTTTAAGTGCCCCCCAAAAGTCATTATGTTACTTATTTCTCTCCACAATCAACAATGTTGCTAAGTGTTTTATTGGATTTTGTTTATTTCTGCTTCCCCTACTGGGAAGGGGTTACTGTTAGAAAGATTGGGGCTCCCTCTGGAAAGACAGGCTGCATGGGCTAAACTTAGAGGATATAAAACAAGCACAGTCTTAAACAGGGTGAAGATAAGCATGTTTTCTAGAGTTTAAAATCTGTGAAGTAACAAGAGTACCCTAAATCTTCCACCATAATGAATTCAGAGGTAGCTCCTATGGGTCAAGCATTAAGAAAAAAAAAATTTCTAAGAATTGTGACTCAATAAACAAAAGAATAATTTAGAATTGAGTAAAAACTGATTTTTATATTTCACATGGCAGAGATTAAGAGGAAAGAATTTTAATGAGAGAAAGTGGGAGGTTTTGGGAAATTATGGCAGCGTCTTCTGGGCATCTCTGTTTTAAAGGACATAGTTCCTTGTTATGGTTAATTGCATTTTAATATACGTGATTCTTCCTTTATATGGGAAATCTCAAGTGCTGTTCCCTCTCTTGTCAGTCACAATTAGGGTATTTTTCTGCTTTGCAGATGAGAAAGGATAAGAGAAGGGGGAGAATAGAAAGGAATTGAAAGTGATAAAAGTGGAAAATATTCAGGGGATCAATGGATGTGATTCAGAAGAGCAAAGGCAAGGATAGAAGAAGGGAAGTGGGAAAGCAGAGTCATGCCCAGCCTTTGAGTACTAAAGGGCAGCAGAAACAGAGCAGAGCTTGCTATTAACATATAGAATGTGTTTCAGATTCTGCATTTCTAACTCAGGGCGTGCTCATGTACTGAATGTAACTAGATAAATGCCTATGTTGGTCTTGTGGCAAAAGGACCTATAGTAGTCACACCCTCAACCACTTGGGGCCAGAGGATGACTCTTCTTTTCCCAATATTTGCAAAACATCAATGTAAAGGTCAGAAACTTAGGGAAGTCGACTCTAACGTTATTAGAACAAATCAAGAAAGGAGCATTTCAGAAGTATAGGTGATTGCTCTCTATTGGGTTAGCAGGTGGATTCATCTATTCATTCAATCAACAGATTCCTGCAGAATATTCTCTGCGGGTCTATTTGTTGCTGGTGCTGTGGGCAAAGGAGAAAACAAGACAGATAAGATCCCTATTTTCTTGAAGTCTTTACTCTAGAGGGAGACATAGAAAATAATTAAGTTAATTTTAAAAAATCAAATGGTGAACATGCTATGTGAGTCCAACTATATGACATTCAGGAAAAGTCAAGCCTATAGAAAATATCAGTGGTTGCCAGAGATTTCAGAGAAAGGGAACGATTAGGTAGGGGACAGCAGATTTTAGGGCAGTGAAACTATTCTATTTTCTGTAATGATGAATACATGACATTATGAATTTGTCAAAACCTGTACAAGGTATGAAGAATGAGCTCTAATCTACACTATCTACACTATGGACTTTAATAATAATACATCAATATTGGTTCATCAGTTGCAACAAATGAATCACACCAATGCAAGATGTTAATAACGGGAAAATGAAGAGATAGGGAAGAAGGGTATGTGAGAACTTGGTATTTTCTGCTCAGTTTTTCTGTAAACCTAAAACTACTCTAAAAAATAGTATATTAATTTAAAAAATCAAATGTTGATAAGTGCTATGAAGAAGAAACCATAATAATGAGTGAGTGGAGCAGAGCAACCTGAGATGTTTGAGACCTATGGGTGAATATGTGAGTAAAGGACCCCTAGGCAGAGGGTACTGTGGGTGCAGTTAGAATAAGCTTAGCCTGTTCAGGCTCTAGGGGAAGAATGTTTTAGGCAGAGCCTTGATATGATCTGCTGTGTGTGTTTAAAAATCACATTTTCTTCTGGTAGAAAGTGGTGGTGGACAGAGGATGGGGAGAGTTGTGGAAGGAGGAGGATCTTTCTGGAGGCTTCTGCAATATCCCAGTGAAGAAGATGCTGGTGGCATAGAACAGGGGTGGGTGGTGGGGAAGGAGAGAAGTGAAGGATTGAGATCTATTTGAAAGTAGAACCGACAAAACTTGCTGTGTCCCAATCCTCAGCAACAGGGGTAAAATTAAGGATGACTCCTAGGTTATTTGGCTTCCCTGACTGTGTGGAAATGTTCTCATTTCCTGGGAGAGGGACACGTTCAGAATGAGGATGAGCGTGTTCAGATGGTTCTTAAAGAAATGAAAGAAATAATTAGATGGATTTCAAACACTGTCTTAAATTTTAATTTGAAGGAGTCACTTTTAAAAGTAACAGGGGGACCAAGTGCAGTGGCTCACGCCTGTAATCCCTGCACTTGGGAGGCAGAGGCAGGGGAATTGCATAAGCCCAGGGGTCTAAAACTAGCCTAAGCAACACAGTGAGACCCTGTCTTTACAAAAAAAAAAAAAAGGGTTTAAAAAATCATCCAGGCTGATGGCACATGCCTGTAGTCCCAGCTACTGAGGAGACTGACGGGGAGGAGCACTTGAGCCCAGGGGTTTGAGGCTACAGTGAGCTATGATCATGCCACTTTACTCCAGCCTGGGCTTCAGATTCTCTGCCTCTGAAAAATATATAAATAAAAACAAATTCTGAAAAGTAACAGAGGAACCCGCAGCACACAGACGGGAAGTTCATATTCACAAGAAAAGAAGTACTACCTAATAGGATTAGCACAAAGCCAAGTTTATCTGATGGAACTTACCACAGAGGAGTCAAGAGTTCATGTTTAGGGACATGTCAAAGCGATTATCTAAAATAAGCTCATCTTTCTAAGTGTTCAAATTATTTTGATAATAAGCTTGATTTAAAGTAAGTGTTTCACGTGCATTTCTCAGTGATACTTGTACTATCACTTTCGTGATTCTGAAACACATGTATTCCAACTCTGTTTCCCATAGTTTTGTTGATTCCATGACAAAGGAAAGATATAACTCAGAATTTTCCCCCTGGCATTGATTATATTTATAACAAATCAAGTGCCTCCATTTGCATTGGCATTCCTACATGCCGTAGAAATGAAAAGCATGGGTTTTATTATAAAATTATATAGGTAAATTGCTGTAATGGAAGGTTGTATGTGCTATGTAACAACAACATAAGACTTGGCAGAATTTTTGAAAAGTGGCATATTGTTTACTTTCCTTAAAATACAAAAAAAAAATGTTGCCAGGCATAAAATTAGACAGGCATGACATTTTCAAATATGCTGACTTATTTAGCACCTCACAAATGTGAATGTGCAGTGGGTGGAGCGACAAATAGAAAAATACAGTTTTCCAAGAAAAAATGTGTGGGCAACTTCCAATCCATTCAGTCTGTTTTAGATGAAAGAAACTTACTAAGAAGAATTAGTTCTTAAACTTGAACAAATAATAGAAAGAACACCATTTATCATCTAAATTAGACATCCAAATGTCCTTACAGGTTTATTAACAAGTACAAAGACATTTATGAAATATAGCTAGAGATGTCTACAGGCCAGATTGCTTCTGGAAAGCAGTTTTAGAAATCACATGAAAATAGTTGTTTGGATCAATAAAAACACTGGCATGTTAGACCCATAGGAGAGTCATCCATATGGGAGGGAAAGAGTTTCTCTAGTTGTAGTCTGGTAGCCGCAGCAAGAAATCCTACATTGAACCACCTGCTATAGCCTTAACATCATGTAATAAATACATGTCAAAGGTGGACATAATTTTCTCATTTGTTAAATATAATCCCTCGGGATGAAGGGAACTAGGACCAGATTCCTAACTGGAATGATTGGTTAGGTAGGCATATATCTCAAATTAATTTTCAATTTTTTTTCTGTATTAAGAAGAATACAATTGTCTTAATAGTAATAACATTAAAAATTAGTTTCTTCCATTTATTGCACACTTATTGGTACTAAACTGGTACTAAATTTACTGTAGTGCTAAATGCCTAACATGTTTTAGTTTCCTAATTTTACTTATGAGAAAACTAAGATTCAGAAAAAATAAATGACTTGACCAAGAACATGCAATGGGTGGATATGGGGGTGGCAGAGTAGAAAGTGGTAAAAATTCAAACCCAAGTCTATCTAAATTGAAAGTCAGCATTCTTTACCATAATTCCATTTGTTTTCATAAAGGAGTCAAACTGTGGTTGTTGTTGTTTGTTGTTGTTGTTGTTGTTTTTAGTCTTATCACTCTGTCTTGTGAACATATATTTCTGGCCACAAATAACTCCAGTAGTAGCAGATGCGAATGGCTGTATTTATCAGAGCCATTCTACCCAGATGGAACTGGTAAATGTGTGCCACATTATACCTCTGTGCTGTGGGCACACCTCTATTTTTGCACTTAGTACTTTGTACTGAACATAATTTTTACACATTTATCTTTTCTGGAAGCCTATGAATTCCCAGAAGACAGAGTTCTGTGTTACTTTTGCATCTACAATATCTTGTTTATGGAATGTAGTAGGGATTGACTCAGGATTATTAAATTAAAAGAGTGAATGAACTCTTTCAGAACTAATTGTAAAACACTGTAAAGAACAAATGTTAAAGACTAGTGGTTGGTGGCATCGTTTTGAAATCTGAACACATTTGACAGAATGTTTTGTGTTACTCATGAGATTTTTGAACGAAAATTTTAAGCTGCAGAAAAGCTTCATCGAATTTTTTTAGCTTCCTCCCATTTCTGTGTTCCTCTGGTTTTTTTATTCCCACTATTATTTTCTTTCTCTTGCTATAGTTTGAGTTTTACAGCTCCTCTCATTCAATAATCTGTTCTCTTTTCCTTTTTTAAATTATTACATGACTTTATTCCAGTCCAAGAGTCAAACAAGCTCTTGGAGATGAAGGCAAAATGTTGACTTGCCATTGCTACGGTAAGCTTTTAGGTTGAGTTTTTCAACAAAGTGAATTCCCATAGAGAAATATGAATATGCTATATTCCAGATCTCAATCTGTGCAGAGAAAAATCTCTGACACACTTTTCCAGATGCTTTCGGAAAGAGGTTTCAAAGAAGGACATGAGACTTTGGAGGAAACAATAGAGTTGAATGATCACATACCTGGAAGTCACAAAACTTGGATTCTAGGTTTTCTTTCCAAACCTCCATAACTCATCCAATAGCTCAGGACTTAAATGTGAAATGAGGAGATTACACCACAAAAATTTTATGATCCCTTACGTCAGGGTTTTACAAACAACACTACTGACATTTCGGAGTTACTATTTCTGTTGGCGGGGGTGTGTGGTGAGCCTTTCCAATGCATTGTAAAGGTAGTTAGCCTCTGCCTACCAGATGCCAGTAGCACCCTTTCCCTTCTCCTTCCCCCACACCCTGAAAATATGACAACCAAAAATACCTCCAGACACTGCCAAACGTTTCCTGAGGGCAAAATCCCTGCCAGTTGAGAATCACTGCCTTATAGCTTAATTTCATGACAACTACCCTATTGCCAAGTAGCAATCTCTTCCATTTTTTCCATATTTTTTCAGACAGCCCAATCTCTTGAGTATTTTTAAACACTATCTTATATACATCATACATTCTCCAGGTTCTACTTTTCCCTAATTAAAGATGTAGAAATCAGTTTGTACACGTACCACACAGAGACAGGTTGCAAAGTTGACCTGTAACCAGACATGAAGTAAACAGATGACTGATTGGAAAATATGTTACAAAGGTTTCTCATCAAAAACATAAGCTCATGAATGGTAAGGAAGGACTTTGGACTAGACTTTGTTTTACACTAATATAAATCATAAAATTGACCTGTCAAGAACAATTGAGAAGGTCAAGATTTCCTTGGCTTTCCCATTTTCGTTGTTGATTCATATTTCTCCAAAATCCAAGTGTAAACAGGCAAGCAAATGTTCTCATATGCATATTATATTTAGATGTGAAGAGCTTAAAATATATAATATATGCCTTATCTTCTAAGTGTATTTTTGTAAAGGTACAGATATATTTGTTTCTTCATTTGGGAAAATAACTTTCTTGCAACTAAAACAATATTTTAAATTCTGTTGCCTCATCGTTTAGTAATTAAATGTTTAGCTGAACACAATAAGCCTAAAATATATGTATCATCTGATTGATACTGTTCTAGTGCAGGTTTTGTTTTTACACCGTGAAGGTCATGGAAACTGAAGAGAAGCAGTGAGTTAAAAACCTTAGACACTATGCACATGATAAAGGCATTCATCTTCAGTCTTTTCCATCCTATAGCTTAAAAAAACACATTACACTTGCTTGAAAGTAGTTATTATAAAGGTAAGAAGACCTTTTACTTAATATCAGACATCTTTTCTTTCTCATTCATGTGATAAATATTTATCATGTGAATATTCCAAATCCACCCTTTTTTCAAAATTTAAGCTTTAACTTTACCCTACCAGAGTCAATGAATATCACCAGTATAAAAGTTTCCAGATTACAAGGAGGTGGACTGACATAAAAAACAATAAAATGTCTTTCTTTTCTTAGGAGTTCAATGTTTAATATGCATTTCTAGTTCTATCTCGTAGGTGCATAGTCTTTTCCCTTAAGGAGAGCTCGAGGTTACAGTGAGCTATGATCACAGCACTGCACTTTCGCTTGGGCAACAGAGCCAGATCCTGTATCGAAATAAAATAAAATAAATATTAAAATTTAAGAGGGCAAAGTGGTAAGAATAAAAATTCTGGTTGTCCAAATTATTCTTTCATAGATACCCTAAATTTAATTTGTCAAGTATTTACCAGATACTCAAGTTGATATATGACTAATGCAGAGATTTACCAACATAAGAAACTGTGGTTTATGGCATAACTATTATTTTATTAATACTTGCAAGACTACTTTTTTCTACTAAGCCATGTTGGATGTATATCTCCATTTCTATAAATGTCATAGACGTGTGTTTTACGGTTATTCCTTCTGTAAGCCTACCATTTCCCCATGTGACCAAACTAACATCTGGCATTTTTCATAAAATTGGTTAAATTTACTTTTGAATATATCTTTGTGGAACAGATTCATGTGCACAATTATTTGATACATATGTGCAGCATAACTGGAAATACCAAGTGTACTGTCTTGAGAAAAATCTCAATACCATGAAACTGAGAAATCATCTCTCAGAGGGCTTTGTTTACTTTATCGTTAAGCCTTTATTTTGGTTTGTCGGCCAGGGTGGGGTGGAGGAGATCATACTCTTGTTTAGTGTGAGAAAATGTGACAGGAGTTTTTTATATCTCCTTCTATAGATTCTTTACAGATTAAAAGAAAGATTTCAGCTTTCCTTAAGACAAGACAAAGAGAAAAACCAGGAGATCCACCTATCGCCCATCACATTACAGCCAGCACTGTCCGAGGCAAAGACAGTCCACAGCATGGTCCAACCTGAGCAGGCCCCAAAGGTACTGAATGTTGTCGTGGACCCTCAAGGCCGAGGTGCTCCTGAGATCAAAGCTACCACCGCTACCTCTGTTTGCCCTTCTCCTTTCAAAATGAAGCCCATAGGACTTCAAGAGAGGTAAGAGCTTGTTCTGTATACCCTACGTGTGGCTTTTTATAAAAAGAGTATTCATCAACTAAAAAAGAAAGAACTAGTAATGATTGACATAATTGGGTAGAATTGTTCACCACTAAATGGACAGTCAGATGAAGTAGTGTTTCTTGTCTCCCAAAGGAATCCAACTGTGTTAGATAAAATCTGTTAGGTATGTCTGATTCTGCTAAGCTTGTCTAGATTCAAGATGGTATAGATCCAAGCAAAGTTCATCTTCAACTACAAGACAATTTCTAGCTTATTGAGGTTCACTGACCTCACAAGATGCTATCTTGTTTAATTGTCATGAAACTCTGGTAGGTAGAAGACTGAGAATGAACTCAGAGTGTTTCCTGCAAAAGCCCACGTTGTCTGGAGTTAGGCAGGAGTTGATGCCACAGATTAATTTTTTTTAAAGTTTTAGCTCTGCATTTTTTAACCACAACAAACATTCAGTATCAAGATCCATGACACTGGACGGGCGCAGTGGCTCACGCCTATAATCCAAGTACTTTGGGAGGCTGAGGTGGGTGGATCACTTGAGGCCAGGAGTTCAAGACCAGCCTGGCCAATAGCCAGGTGAGGTGGCGCATGCCTGTAATCCCAGCTACTTGGGAGGCTGGGATGTGAGAATTGCTTGAACCTGGGAGGCAGACGTTGCAGTGAGCCGAGATAGCATCACTGCACTCCAGCCTTGGCAACAGAGTGAAACTCTATCTAAAGAAAAAAAAAATCCATGACATTATTTTTGTTGCCTTACCTTTTTTGTGATGTATTATACATGTGATTCACTTTATACCAATACATTTCCATTAAACGCAAATCCAATGTAAGAAAACTTGGATTTGCAAAATACATAAATGAGAGACTAATTCTTTGCCTCTCAAAAATATTAAGTAAAGCTTTCCCATGGCGTTTCTTAAAATAAGAAGCTTTAATTTTATATTTAAAACATGACTTGTAGTGTATCCAACTTTGAACACCAGGGTAGTGGGAGAGTAAGTTCTCAAAGTAATATCCCAGGTTCATTCTCCTCTTATTTTCCATGTCTCCATTTTCTAACCCCATATATTTTGTTGCCTGAGGTTTTTAAATCACATATATAAATTTTGAATATATTTCCCATGATACATCACAATGCCCTATGCAAATAGTTATGGTTTACACACACAAACACACCCTTCAGAAAATATAGCTTGGGATTTTAAGAACTGCAGAATACAAAATTGATCCTTCATAATTATTTGAAAGTATTGCCAAGGAACAATGGATGACATAAAAATAAAGGAATGTGTTTATCTCTAAAAGTCCTTAAACACTGAACCCTTTGACTCCACAACAGGAAGAAAACAGAGATTGATCAAGTCATTCTTTCCACCTCCTCCCCTAAAATACCTGTGGTTTCTTGATGGGCAATGTAGGTCTCCATGTGACATTCACTTACGTAGATATCACTAAATTGCTTTTTGTGATTCAGTGTGGAAAGGTAGAGAAAATGGAACTTTCTCCCTAAGGCTAACTGGGAGTCAGGAGAACTGGATTCCAGACCCAGCCCTGCCGTTCCTGGGTTTGGTGGCCTCACCTGAGTCATTCACTCATCTGGACCTCATTTTCTTCTAAAAGATAAAGAGGTTTAACTTGATTTTTTAGCTTCTTTCTGGTTCTTTTACTCTGGTCATCCACATTATTTTTGTGCTTTTATGTTTGCTTCAAAGAGGAACTTTGAAGCACAGACCTGGGCATCAGTGATGAACGAAGGGCCGGTGGCAAGAAAGGGTCTGCAGGCAATAGGAGGCCATGTTATCTATAGTAGATAACAATGAAGGGTCATAATGAAACTGATTAAAAGACAAATTTTTATTATCATCATGCACTACCAATTCTAAGCAAGGTCAGAATAAAATTGTCTAGGAAAGTAGCCATTCCCAGCATCCTGCCCTCTGTAGACCACTGCTGGACATGTTGGTCTACAGTTTAAAGGAGTATAAGGTTAAATATTCACTTATTCATTTCATTAAAGTGAATCTTTGAGAAGGGCGAATACAAGGACGGAATCATACCCATCTCTTTGGTCCACGTGGGGGATTCTAGCAGAGCAAGTGTGTAATCAGTGTTAAATAGATCCTCTGTCCCCTTATCTACAACTTCACTGCATCCCACACTTCACCTCCTACTTTGTTCCACCTCAGAGCAGGAAAAGACTATTCTCTCCACAAGGGCTCCAGGTCATTCACCTCAACCCTAGTAACTTCATCAGTTTTCCTCCTCTACCTTCAGCTGTACCCTCTTTTCTAATGCTGTTCCCTCAGCATACAAATAGGTTCTTTCTTGTATTAAAGAAACTCCCTTAATCCAGTGCCTCCTCTGGTATTGTTTTTCCTTCCTTTCTCAAATACATGTCTTAAAAGAACAGAGTGTACTTGCTGCCTCATTGTTCTTCTCCCACCTTTCATTCTCATTGCTTCTCTCACATCCTCGATTATCAAGTTAATTATCAATGGTCTCACTACCAAATCCAAAGCACATGTTTCATTTCCCATCTAGCACTAGTAACTATCTCCTTCTTAAACTTCTCTCCTCCTTTGGCCTCATATATATCATTTTTCTGTTTCTTGCATGGCTACCTTCGGTCTCCTCCAGATTCCCTTCTCTTGTTAACCTCAGAGTTTCATTCTGTGTCCTCTTCTCTCCTTCCTGAATCACCCAACCATGGCCACTTCTTATCTTACCACCTTTTAGTGATTCCTGAAAAAGTACCTTTAGCTCAATCTACCTTTCTGTTGAAATCCAGACCCATATTTCAGCTCTGAACTCTGTGTCACTACTCTGACCTTTCTTAAACACTACCAACTTACAACATTCAGAAATGGAACTCAAGACCTTCCTCATCAAATCCTTTCTCTTCTTTTTAAATTGTGAGTCTCTGAAACCAGTAATATCCTCAGCTTCTCCGTGTTGTTTTTCCCCTCCCCATATAGCCGAACATTATGAAGACCTGGCACCTTCTCCCAACTGTTTCCCCCGTCCAACCCCAATCCCACTGAGAACTCAGGATCTCCCTAATTCTAGCCAGTCTCCTCCTGGTCCCCACCTCGAATTCTGTTTTTTTCCAGTCCACTCTCTAGACCTCTTAAACTGGTTTTCTAAATTATATTTGAGTGTTTTTCTCTTTATAAAATTCCTCAGTGTTTCCACACTGCCTTCAGGAAGAAACTGATAACTTCTACTTATGAAATATGAAGCCCTTTCTGATCTGGCCTTTGGCAGCCTATGTTGACCCCTATTTCCTGCTAAACACCCCCTTGGACTCATCCTGCTACTTGGACATTTTTCCAGGTACCATGCCATTCTCTTTTAAGCCTAAGAATTAATACTTGCCTAGAACCTGTCCTTTTCCCTACTCCTTGCCCTTGAAAATTACCACCAATATAGTGGGCATGAATCTGGGTCTACAAATCAAAAAAACAAGAAATGCAATTTTATTTTTCTGTAACTCAACCTAAGCTTTTTTGCTAGATGTCATTTCACCTAAATGGTAGAAACTCAATCTCAGCCCTTTTCTGATTCATCTAACCTACTTCTGGTTTCCTAGGGTTTCCTCTACGTTTTAAGGAGACTTTCTCAACATGAAGAGTAAGGCCCCTATCTGCCTTGATGTCATCTGTGCACATTGTCATCTGCTAAAATGTCCATTATCTCTTTGGTTCTCATAAGTATTCCCAGGACAGTTACCACCATGTTGTTCCCTGTTGCTATTCATGCAGCCCCTTCATTTCCAGCAGTTGCTTTCTCCTTTTCTCTCTCTCTTCCTCTTTTTCAGTTGTATCCAAACCACTGTTAGATGCCCAAGAATCATCTCACTATTCTACCCCAAATGGAGGCATAGGAAAACCTGGGCATATCTAAGGCATGATCCCCCAGAAACACTTTCCAGCCATTTCTCATGGCTCTACCAAGGATCACAGTCCTCCTATTGAGGGTCCCCCACTTCCCAGGGCTCAGCGGTGAAGGATCCAGGGGTCTCACCTGCACCCACAAAGCAGCCGTTCTAACACTTCACCCTCCCCTGAGCCCATGGGCGTTTTCTTAGGCTTTGGGAATAGAAAACCCTACTCTGGCTTATTTCATATTCTACCTTATCTGACATCCACACCCCGAGACGCCACCTTCCACCAAAGTCCTGGCCTTTAGAACACAAAGCCCATGACAGGACTCAAATTTCCCTGCTTTCTGCTCTCAGATTTCTTCAAATGCAATAAAACACCAAAAAACCCTGGCAGCCCGAATACAGCAAAGGTCCAAAGGTGAAAGAGGGAGTAGGAATACAGGGAGGGGCATTCAAGCATCACTTCCTCTTGGAAGCCAATTTGAGGCTCCCTCTGCCTCCTCCTCCTTCCTCCAGCCCACTACTGATTCAGCTACCTCTCTTCTGTATGGAGGCTCCCCGCTGCTTTAGTTCCATAACCCAGTGTGCATACAGTATTTATAGCACTTCTTTGTTGTCTTTAAGTTCTGGTTTACTAATCTGTTGTAGCCAATAGACTCTAAGCTTCTTGAGGACACATATATGATTGAATTGTCTCCTTATCTGTTACATATAGAACATAATTTCTGGAAACCAGGAGCTCCTGGAGATAAATGCCTGAATGAGTGAATTAACCAATTAATGATTCTTTTTTATGACTAACCTCAGGTTAACTCCCAGCAGTTACTGGGAAACACTTTGCTTATTCCACCATCCCTTCCTGTTCTATTCTCACTCCCATTTTTCTACCACAATTCCCTGCCAAGATGGCATAATGAAGAGTTTTAAGAGTGACCAAATTTGAAGAATGTACAGTGTTCCATGCAGAAAGCTTTTCTGGCAGTTTTAAGCCTTAAAATTTAATTTATATATATATATGTGTGTTCTAATGGTGCCTTTAAAATAGGCTCATGTTTAATAGCTCTCCATCTTTTGATCCTGGAGTGAGGTAATAATCTTCTACTTATTGCATAAAAGTATGGCTTCATTAAAATCACCAGGAGACCATAAAGACTGCATTATAAGTCACTTGTCCCAATCTTTTGGATCATGTCATATAAATTTCTCATCCCTGATTGGGAGAATCTATCACTTTGATATCATTAATCATAAAATATAATTTTAAAATTAAAAGATAAGTCAAATAAGATCTAGAGACTAAATGGATTGCTTAACTGAGTATAAAGAATACACTCTGAAATTATGAAGATTAAAGAATCTTATAAAAAGAAGAACATATTAGCCAGGCATGGTGGTGCATGCCTGTAGTCCCAGCTACTCAGGAGGCTGAGGTGGGAGGATCACTTGAGCCTGGGAAGCAGAGGTTGCAGTGAACTGAGATTGTGCCACTGCATTCCAGCCTGGGTGACAGAGTGAGACCCTGTCTCAAAAAGAAAAAAAAAAAAGAGAAACATAGCAATTCAGTCTTCTTTTCTCCCTTTTTCAAACTAATCGCCAAATCATATTGATTCTTGCTCCTCCAACTTTCTCATTATTGATTATCTCTTTCTGTAATCATCACCTTGGACCCAGCTCTCATTACTTCATGATTAAATTGTTGTGTCATATAATTGTACAAATGATATTAGGACTAATATATGTAATATGTTTCATATATATTATTTTATTTCATCTTATCTGTCTGCATCTAATTCTCTTTCCCCCTTCAATAGTCTTCAGGTTTATCTTGCTATAACAATCTTTCATTATCATACTTTGCTGTGCAAAAATCCCCATTTGGCTCCATTTTCTTACAGAATAAGGCATAGACCATCTTGTTGGGCCTCAGATGTCCTATACCATCTGGCCCTGATCATTTGCTCCAAATCCATTTGCAACTACATCCTAAAATAAACCTTCTATTCCATGCTCTCTGTTTCCATCCCCATCCCCCTCTGAGTGCTGCGCTCCTGTCCACATTTGCATTTCTGTTTGCCTGGTCCTTCCTCTTCCCTCAGCCTACCGATCTCTAGTCTCCAGAGCCCAACACAAAACTTACCCCCTACCACTGGCCATGTAACCTATTTGTGCCCACAGTGATGTATAACACCTATAAATTCTCAGATATACCACTCCTCTGGCAATGACTTTAATTGAACAATCATTCAGAAAGGGACTTGAACTGGTTTTTAAGTGGTTTGTCTTGTGTTTTCAGCAGATGACAAGAATTTTAAGAACAGGTACTATGGCTCAAGATACTCTGTGTCTCCTGTGGTTCCTGTAAACCCTGGTACATAGTAAACACTCAAAAATATTATGGAGTTAATTAATGTTGCTTCACATCTGAAGATCTCGTCTGTTTCTAAAGAATCTTCCATAAGAACCAATAGCTTAATGATAAACTATAGACCTGAGTCTCAGCTAATACTACCTCTGACACTTATTAAATAAGTGGCTCAACGGATTAATTAAGTCCTCTGTAGTATAGTTTTCCCAATCTATAAAATAATATCTGCTCCACCTTCAAAGGATACTACAAAATTAACAATCAATACAAAATGGCATGGTGTCTTTGAGAAGGAAAAGGAAATCTAATATTCTTTTTGTTTTTGTTCTCTGATTCCATTTCACAAGCCTACACTAGGTCAGTTATACTTTTGAACTCAGGAGTTGAAGCTAATTTTCTACTGAATTGCTACAGTTGAGCCTGTCATATAACATTATATTTTTAACTGTCAATTAACATAGTTTTGTTCATCCTATTTGTAAATATACAGTTACATGTAATTTATAAGTACATACTTATAAATTGGCCAGTAAATGTTATCTAATAAATAACAGTATCAATTTAATCAATTCTGGTCTAACAAATGCATTCATTTCTCATGGCGAGTCCAGGTACAAATTCAAACACTTGCTCTGTAACTACCACATATATAAGTTGGAACCTGTTTATTCACCTGTATTGAGGAGCATAGCATGTGCCTTGCACAGCTCTTGGGACAGTTAAGCTACATGACAAATGTCACATGGCTGGCACAGTGTGAGGCCACAGTTAGTTCATGTTCCCTCTTGTCTTTTGTCCCATCCTTGCCCTCCCAAAATGCTCCACTGATCACTCTAAGGGAAATTGTATACATGCTGAGTTCCAAATTCCCATTAAATGAGGAATCACATTCAAACTCTAGAAAGTACATTTTCTAGAACTTATGAATCTGAAAGATTCTGCACATTTTCCCTTTGGGCTACTGTACGGCTAATGGCCAATTTTATGGAAAGGAAATCAACAGGCAAATTGGATATGTTCACATTATTTCCTCATTTTTCTCACTTGATTTTCTATTACAAGTAAACACTGTGCAAGGAGAGGTAGAAAACTGTCCAGGAAGGAAGAGTGGCACACTGTAATATAGCACTCTCCATCCTGACTTCATTTCTCAGTAATCAGTTGGTGGGCCATCAGGACTATGATATTAATGGGTGTTTTTTTCTATCAAAACGGAGGTCTCAGTAGGCCCCCAAGGGTTGCTGATATCCAACGAACAAACATTCACTAACTTTTCTTCAGCTGTACCATAATAGGGTATACATGTTATGATTTACAATAAATACTGTGAAAATGATATAACACCCAGGATTGTGAGTCTAAAGGTTTCCTTAGGGGTTGCTGAGCTTGGGAGATTTTTATCAGAACTAGAAATTTGTCTGCAATGGTGGAAGCAATGAAAAGACAGTACATGCCATGAAAATGTTGACCATTCTACATTCAAACTCAAAAGATTTTGTGTATTACAATTTCCTCCTGGCAAGGCAGAATGTCCTGATGTATCTGCCTCGCTTTCCCTAGTAGAGGTACATTTCGATGCTTAAAGATTTTAACTTGGAGAATCTTTAATCATTCCTCCACTGATCTCTTTTTGGGACATATGAGTAAAGAGAAGGGAATAGAATTAATATGACTGCATATCAGAGCATAAAGTGTAAAAAATACCCTGGAAGTTAAAATCTGTATTCATGGCTGCAAATGGTGGCTCACGCCTGTAATCCCAGCATTTTGGGAGGTTAAGGCAGGAGAATCACTTGAAGCCAGGAGTTTGAGACCAACCTGGGCAACATAGTGAGACCCCGTCTCTACAAAAATTTTTTAACAAATTAGCCAGGCATGGTGGTGTTTACCTGTACTCCCAGCTACTTAGGAGGCTGAGGCAGGAGGATATCCTGAACCTGGGAGCTCAAGGTTGCAGTGAGCTGTGTCACACCACTGTACTCCAGCCTGGGCAAAACAGCGAGACTTTGTCTCGAAAGATAGATAGATAGATAGATAGATAGATAGATAGATAGATAGATAGATATTCATTAAATAGACCCATAATCGAAAATGGATCCAACTCTCTCATTTTCTGTCAAATAAAAATGGGGCCCAGAATCTTTCTCTTAGGTCTTTGGTGAGGTTCTGTAAAAGCACAGCCTGAGACAAGGGCTCTTGTCCAAATGATGTGTTGAGAAGATGCTCTCAGGGGAAGCTTATTAGGAAAGCAGGGCAAGCAGAACAGAGAAGAGGACAAGCAAAGAGGTGGTGGTAGCAGCCATCTACCCTCAGCCTGATTGCACAGGGATCTCTGAGCATGAGTGGCCCCTCATGGACAGTTGTCTCACCTTGAGGTGAGGGGGCTGAGCCTCTGCACCCTCATGCCAGCCAACCACTGACTCCAGGCCACCCAGGGATGGTGGAGGCATAACTTCCTAGGCACCTCTGGCTCAGCAACACCCATCAGCTGAGGGGGCTGCTCCAGCGAAGTGGCAGCTGGGCACCACTAACAGGCTACCCTCCCAGCAGTGGGGCAGGAGAGGATGGGGCACCAGCTGGAGAAAGGCGACCTGGGTGGGGCACCAACAGCATTACTGTACTTGCCAAAGGTCGCAGCAGAGCTAAGTTTACACTCCAGGTTCCTTTGATTTTCCCAGGCCATTATACACGTACCACACGGCCTCCTTCAAATAAACACCATTCATTCTATTGGAACCTATGACCCAGCCCCATTGAACACAGTCTATCAACCATGACTCAGTTGCTCAGCCTGACAACATGAGGGCTTATAAACATAAAATATAGCAAACACGTAGAAGTAAATTCCAGTTTAACTCCAAATAACATCAATAAAAATAACAACTCAGTATGCCCTGTTGACCCTTCACATGCATTATCTCATTTCACCAACCCAAGGGACTTTTTATCCCCTCCTTAGAGTGGAAACTCATGCTCAGAGAGTATAAGTTATGGCCCTAATAACTTAATAGTAAGTCAGTAGGATTGTGAGGGTGACAAATAGAATGCGAACCCAAGCAGTATTGCTCCAGAGGCTGTACTCCTAATTAATAATAAATTGGCATGCTTTGGGGGTTGGGAGGAGGCGTACACACCTATAATCTGTGGGAAATCAATTTTAAAATAAACTACAAATCAGTATATTTAGCAAGTAGGTATATTATGGAGCGTCACACTGTTTTTCCTCTTAGCAAATTTTATGCTTGGCTTTCAGAATATTTTTCAGATTTTAAATCAAGCAAAGTGCAATTTCATGAGGTGGACTCAAAACACTCATGACAGATAACCATTTCACTGCCATTCTAGAAGCACATTGTCTGTCTCAGTTTTTTCCTTAATCTGATTTTTGCCATTCTGGAGGCCTGGTGGTAATCTGACATAAATGACCAAGAGGAAGGTGAACACGAATAGAGCAAAGAAGCCAAAGTGAGGGGGCTATAAGGCAATAATTCAGAATACTCAAGTCAGAAAAGGATGGAGTGGTCTCCATATTGTTCAAACATCCTGCATAATAACTCGCCCACTTCATTGTGTGTGTGATTGTCAGTGGAGGTGGCAGGAACAGCAGAGAAGCACATGGTCATGCCTGCACTAAGCTGCTGCCCGTGCTGCTGTAATAGAAGGATGCAGAGTCACAGCTGATGGGTTGGACACTAACCTGCCACCTGCCAACCACTGTGCTTATGTATGATCTCAGACAACCTTCACAACATCCTGGAGGCAGGCAGTATTTCTATGCCCATCTTGCAGTTATGCTAACAGAGAGACTTAGAGAGATAAGTAATATGCTCAATGTCACAAAGAAATAAAAATCTAGCCAAAGATACAATCTTGACAACCTGCTTACAAAATCTGCACGTAACTACCATGTCTTACCTTTTTCTAGGTGATACAGATGACAAAATTTTAATCTTCTGATATGGTTTGGCTATGTCCCCACCCAAATCTCATCTTGAACCGTAGCTCCCATAATCCCCACATGTCATGGGAGGGACCCAGTGGGAGGTAACTGAATCATGGGGGCAGGTTTTTCCCATGCTGTTCTCATGATAGTGAATAAGTCTCACGAGATCTGATGGTTTTATAAAGGGCAGGTCCCTTGCACACACTCTCTTGCCTGCTGCCATGTAAGACATGCCTTTGCTCCTCCTTCACCTTCTGCCATGATTGTGGGGCCTCCCCAGCCATGTGGAACTGTGAGTCCATTAAACCTCTTTTTCCTTATAGATTAACTCAATCTCAGGTATGTCTTTATTAGCAGTGTGAGAACGGACTAATCACCTTCTAACATTTTTATAAAATATTTTCATATTCTTATACTTGTATGGGGATGTCCAGAGCTGAGGGAGGCACTGGAAACATGCACAAGCCCTTCATGAACAGTGAGCATCAAGCTGTTCTCTTTATTTGTCAGATTTTATATAGGTAGGTTGGAATTCTGGAGGGTTATGAACAAAATTTTCATAGGGTTTTTTATTCTAAAAAAATAAAAGACCCCACAGGAATGAAGAAAAAGGAGGCAAAAGTTTTGAAACCTGCCTGAAAATTAATGGTACGTCATGAGACAAAAATGTAATCTTGTTAAGTGAAAGAAATGACAGTGGATACAACCCAGGGTGAGTAAAACAGGAGCCAACATATATTATTTAAGAATTAAAAGTAGAGGAGCTTTGCCTAAAAAGGTAAAAATTGGCCACTACTCATTGGAAAGCACAGGCCTGGCATAATTTCTCTCCAAGCAGACCCTGAAATGTTTAAGCCATTGTAGTCTAATGAGTCCTGAAAGTGTAGACCTGGCAGTGGCTCTAAGAGGAATCACAGTAATTGCTCCTTTCCTTTCCTTGCCTTCCCTTTCTCTACTTGTGGTCCCTGGCAGAGCAGCAGGAATAAGTCCCACTGAGTCCTCTAACTGCTGTATCTGCCCCCAGACCACCCCTCATACAGGCTGCTTCACCCTGAGGTTCAAGCAGAAAGGACTTCTCAGCCCTTCCACCCTGACCCCCAACAATCCTTCAACATCCATTAGCCTGCAACCCCATCCAGGACACTGCTTCCAGCTTTACAGGGTACTCTCCATTTGCACTCATACCATGGGGGACAAAATCTAACTACCCTGGGAACTCTTTTGGCAATTCAGTAGGGTGTGCATTTCTATAAAGTTCTTTTTGTCTTGACCCTAAAGAAGAGGTGGTCGTGGTACAATTTTTTGAGATTCAAATTCTCTGATTCCTCTACATGTGATTAATTAGAGTTTCACTTTGGAGGGTACTAAATGCAGTGCTTTTTAAAATGAGATTTTTTTTTATTTTTGCTAGGGGACCATGTTCCAAATCTTGATGTATAGGTTGACAGAATTAGGTGAAATGGCCTGTTCTGAAGAAGCGTTTTAATCAGGGCAGGCACAGATAATTCCCAGCATAAGCTTTGCTTCCTATTTTAAGAGCGACCAGTTCTGAATCTTAGATACTGTGTCAGGAGGTTTTTCCTTGCAGCCAGAGACTTTTGCCTTAGGAGTTTTTGGAAATGTGTCATAAAGCTATGTAGTTCAGGGTCCCACTATGTGCATTTTATGAACTGCCCAAACATTGTTTTCCTGGGAAGTGAGGCACCACTCTCCTCTCATCAAATTCACCCAGATATTAGCACATGACCTCTAGAGCAGAACAGTGAAGAATCACAAGTTACTCATGGCAGGCGACTTGAACACAATTATTTTTCAACTGATGTGGGTTTTTTCTGTAACATAAAATATACACTTCAATTTATTTATATAAATATAAAACTATCTTTTTCTGGAAATCTTATAAAAACCACTTTAAAGTGTCGTTCCCATTTAGCAATGCAGCATGATTATCTGGGTACAATCTAAACATGGAGAGAGCACTGTTCTCAGACACATCCTGATGAAGCTCACGATTGGAGGACGTGGAATTAGTTCCCTCTAGTGGAGAACTTCATGTTGACACAGTTGTTAGCCCCTTGTCTCATGGAAGGAAAAGAAAGGTGAAATCTTTTTTTTTCTTTTTTTTTCTTTTTTTTTTTGCCATAATTTTTCTTTTTTTCTTTCTTTTTTTTTTTTTTTTTTGTTGTTGTTTGTTTGTATTTTTTTTATGACAGCGTCCTCTCTGGCGGGTAAGGCATAATCTTTTTTTGGTATATACCTTAGAAAACAGGTCTCAGTGTAGTGATGAAACAGCTTTAACTTGAGAATTGACAAATTCTTGTGAACACTTTTAAATATGATATACTTTCTAACAATGCTTGGCATCCAATCATTTTCATTTCTCATTATTTTAAGTAATTTTAACAACAGTGTATCAAATGAAATTATTGTTCCCTAATAATGTCTTATAGTGTATACATTTGTTTATTTAAGGAAACCTTTTTTTCCAAATCATGGATTAAAACACAGCCCTCAAGGATTCTCCCCTTTTCCAGGCCCTCCCCATCCCACCTGCCTTACTTTTCATTTCCTGCGTTTTCCCTCTCGGCTTTGATTTCCCTCAAGGCGGTGTCTGTAGCACAATGCCTACCACCTTGTACGTGTTCCATAAATATTTGTTAAATCTCAATATGAAAAAAGGAACAAGTTCTTGGACATCAAGTTAATTTTATAGGAAGAAATATGTTTTAAAAAAATAAAAATAGATGATGCGCCGGGCATAGTGGCTCATGCCTGTAATCCTAGCACTTTGGGAGGCTGAGGTGGTCAGATCACAAAGTCAGGAGTTTGAGACCAGCTTGGCCAACATGGTGAAACCCCATCTCTACTAAAAATACAAAAATTAGCCAGGCGTGGTGACGTGCGCCTGTAATCCCAGCTACTTGGGAGGCTGAGGCAGTATAATTGCTTGAACCCAGGATGCGGAGGTCGCAATGAGCTGAGATCATGCCACTGCACTCTAGCCTGGGCAACAGAGCAAGACTCTGCCTCGGAGGAAAACAAACAAAAAAAAAATGGATGCTCACCACCACCTCGCCCTTGCCCCACAGAAGCCTGTGGTGCTGGCAGGTTGCCTGGCCTCATTAGACATCGAGAGGGAGCCCCTTGGAGCTGTGCTCCCTGCATGTCCTTGGCAATGTCACGCTGCACCTGGGGCTCTGAGGGGAGCTCCTAAAACCCTCACGGTCCCTGCTGTGAATATGATCTTCTGAATCATTTGTTTTACTCTTGTTACGTTGGCTCCTAACTTAGCATGTTGTTACCAAATCCCTATTCAGAGGAATATTTTTTCCTGACAGAATCCTTAGTCTACTTAAGGTTTCTAAGAAAAAAAAGTTGGAATTTTAAACCCACCTTAATCAAAAATAAGAGTAAAAATGATGAAGTACTAAAGGATCTATGAGAATGAATACATTCAAAGTATGGCAGAGGCCCACTTTGCCTGAAGGAATATACCTCAGATGTGGATCCTTCATCTTGTCAGTCTCCAGAGGATGGTCAGCCCTACTCAAACACCTGTCCGTTTTTCCAGGCAGCTCTTTTTTTCATTGCCCAAGGCAGCTTTTTAAAATCAGTGTTGCTGTCCTTAAATTCTCTTCTCCCATCCGATACATAGAAAAATACAGAATCTAGGAATAAACCATCCTAAATTACCTCTCTTGTTCCCTGACCCCATCAAGAACTCACACATGTGTGTGTAGGCACACGTGCACACAGTAGGATCTCCTGAGAGCTTATTCGTTTTTGTTTTCCTACTTCCTAATACCACACACATAATAGAGGTTCTCTAAAAATTGACTGAATGATACAGAGTTAGCCTTACTCATGGGAGTTAGACATATTCGTCTATTTCAGCTCTAAAACATCCAGTTGATTCTAGAAAGCCCAGAGAAAGGGAGAAATTCTCACTTGCCACCTCCTTCACGGGTGCTTAAATTATCCAACCACCCTATGTGGCCAATTGGTTTTTAAGGTCTGTGGTCGTGGCCCCTCTGCTCCTGTTTAATGAATAAACTTTGTAAACTTTAAGAGACTCTATCCTGAACCTGTTAATACAGCGTAAATATGCATCAAGACACTTAAGAAAATATCCTACAATTGAGTGGTTCCATATTAGTGAAAGAATGGTCTAGAAATCTAGAGAGAGGTCTCAGACAAGGCGATTGCAAGTTTCTCCAGGTGAGGCAATACTTCCTCATCTTTGAACATTGTGTAGAGGGGTGACTGTCCTTACCATTGCTTTCCTATTTGTACATGTTTAAACTCCAACATTTTTTTTTCATTTCTGGGGAGGGATTTTTCTTCCATCCAAATTTTTGATCCAGGTAATCATTATAATCTTGACCAATGGTTTAACTTTCCATCACAGTTTCATAGAAGAGAGTTGTTTATTTCACTTTAAAGTATATTTTCTTTCTTTTCCTTCCTCCTTCCTTCCTCTCTCTCTCCTTCCTCCTTCCTTCCTCTCTCTCCTTCCTCCTTCCTTCCTCTCTCTTGCCTTCCTCCTTCCTTCCTCTCTGTCTCCTTCCTCTCTCTCCTTCCTCTCTCTCTCCTTCCTCTATCTCTCCTTCCTCCTTCCTTCCTCTCTCCTTCCTCCTCACTTCCTCTCTCTTTCCTCTCTCTTTCCTTCCTTCTGTCTCTCTCTCTCCTTCATTCTCTGTCTCTCTCTCTCCTTCCTCCCTCCTCTCTCTTTCTCTATCTCCTTCCTCCTTCCTTCTGCTCTCTCTCATTCTCTCTCCTTCCTCTCTCTGTCTCTCTCTCTCTCTCCCCCAAGCTGGAGTGGCGTGGCATGATCCTAGCTCACTGTAACTTCAAACTCCTGGGCTCAAGTAGTCCACTCGCCCCAGCCTCCTAAGTAAATAGGACTATAAGCACATGCCACCATGTCCAGTTAATTCTTTTATTTTTTGCAGAGATGGGGGTCTCACTAGCTGATCTCCAACTCCTGGTCTCAAGTGATCCTCTTGTCTCAGCCTCCCAAAGTGCTAGAATTACACGCATGAGCCACTGTGCCTGGCCTCTGATTTCTACCTTTTTTTTTTAATTCATTTATTCTTTTGAGACGGGGTCTTGCTCTGTCACCCAGGCTGGAGCACAGTGGCATGATCTCAGCTCACTGCAACCTCCTCCTCCAGGGTCCAAGCTATTCTCCTGCCTCAGTCTCCCAAGTAGCTGGGGTTACAGGTGCCCGTCACCATGCCCGGCTAATTTTTGTATTTTTAGTAGAGACGGGGTTTCACCATGTTGGCCAGGCAGGTCTTGAACTCCTGACCTGAGGTGATCCACCTGCCTTGGCCTCCCAAAGTGTTGGGATTACAGGAGTGAGCCACCAAGCCAGGCCTTCTAATTTAAATATGTTCTTCCATATATGACCTGCAGGTGGCAGAGTGAAACAGCACTATACTGTAAAAGTAAAAATCGAGGCTTGGGTGTGACAGAAATTCTCATTAGAACTTACATCCTCTAGGGTGATACTAGTGAAATCTAGTGTGGGCAGGGTGTCTCACAAAATCTTTAACACAATGTCAATAATAGTTTGCTTGGAATTATTATTTTTTCATTGTTTTTTTGTCATCCACTAGTTGTATCCCCCCAAGAGGATAAAAATATCAAATGACATTATGAAAAATATCAAATGACATTAGAACGTCAAAATCCTCAAAATAGAAATAACAAGTAAAATAATTAAAACATGGCTTGAACATGGTTATTGGACTCCTCAGGTTTTTTTTTTCTTAAATCATTATGATTCTTCATAAGAAAGTAAACTGTGTAATTCAGTAAACTAAATTGTAAGCTGCTTGGAGGTAAGGATGTCTCTTTTTTATTGCCATGTCCATGTATTTGTATTGCCTATTAAGGTGCCTGGTGTACATTAGACCTTAATAAATGCTTAATTTCGTCCTTCATTCCCACTCACTGTTGGTAAAAGTGGTTATGGTGGGCATAGTTATAATCTAGAAGTAAGTGTTAATATTTTAGAGCTGGGGGCCTCTCAAAAGGCCAAAAATATAGCATTTTACAGTTGGGAGAAACCTTAGAGTAGTGGTCCCCAAAACTCATTTAACATAGTCCTCTAGGGAAACTTTGTAATATTTCTAGATATTCCTATCTAAACAGACTTTCCAGATGGAAAATATTCTAGAGTCCAATCCAAATTCAGCTTCAACAGCTCTGGTCCAGGGTTGGGGAAAGATGATACTCAGATAGATAGATAGATAGATAGATAGATAGATAGATAGACAGATAGATACAAATAGATCATCTCTACATGTAATCTGTATAAAGATCTATATATACACACATATATGCAAACATGTATAACATATTTAAATATATTCATTAAATGCATGTGTTTAAATACATTTAAGTTTAAATGCATATATTTAAATGTCTATGGTGTATTTGAATATATTTATATTAGTATATATTTCTATAATCTGTATTTAAATTATTCCTATTTGGGAACTGTAATCTCAGTCTCCCTGGTCCAGGTCGCAAGGATGTTCCCATAACTCTACAGCTGTTGCAGAGCCTCTGATGTGAAAGCAGTGGCCATAACCCTTATTGGAAGCAGAGTTCTAGAACTGAAACAACTCATGGATTGCAAACCTGGAAGCTTTTCTAATAATTTTCTAAAATCAGTTTCATTTTTGGCCCCGTAGTATTCCAACAGCTCTTACCTACTCTATTATACTGGGTTCCTATAGCCATATTCATTACTAAAATTGTTAGGATCACAGGCTGTTGGTGCCAGAAGGCATCCTCTTTAGTGTTGTGTGGACAAGGAATGGAGATAAAGAAGTTAACTAATTAGTTTACAAAGAACTTTGAGAATTGAAGGAAGCCATCTGTCAGTACAGGTTGAATATCCCTAATCCAAAAATCCAAAATCCAAAGTGCTCCAAAATTCAAAACTTATTGAACATTGACATGATGCTCAAAGGAAAGGATCACTGTAGAATTTCAGATTTTGAATCTTTGGATTAGGGATCCTCAACTGGCATATATATATATATATATATATATATATATATATATTCAGATTTTGGAATATTTGCCATATACATACATACATATATATATATATATATATACACATATATGTATATATATATAATTGAATAACCCAGTACAGGTTGAGTATCCCTGTATCCCTTATCCGAAATGCTTGGGACCAGAAGTGTTTCAGATTTTGGATTTTTTGTTTTTTTTTCAGATTTTGGAATATTTGCCATATATATATATCTAGAGACAGAGAGAGAGAGAGAGATCAGAGAAGGGGCCTGGGCCCTTCTCTGATGCCTCAATGAGCTGAGCTCTGTATATATGTATGGCAAATATTCCAAAATCTGAAAAAAAAAAAATCCAAAATCTGAAACACTTCTGGTCCCAAGCATTTCGGATAAGGGATACAGGGATACTCAACCTGTATTGGGTTATTCAACAATAGAACTGTAGCTGGATTCATGGCTAGCTATGGATTATTTCACATTTTGATAAATCAGTACTTTTCAATTATGCTCTATGGGGCCTTAGGGAAGAGGTAGGCTAGTGGGGCCTGGGCCCTTCTCTGATGCCTCAATGAGCTGAGCTCTGCATGCACTTGTTTTGATTATTAGACTTACAGGTATGATCTTATTTTCTTTCTTAACCAAGAGCCCCCAGCTTTGAAAAGAGTTTGATTACCACTGATACAGTTGTTTACTCAGACAGTCTGCTCGGGCTAAACATGTTCAAGTGAAATCAAAGACCTGAGGGTGAAGTAGATCATGTGATGTTCAAGTACATGTGTCTTTCTCACGTTTTGGCCATTCTGTGCCGTTTGGATGCATTTTTCTATGAGACTCTGGGTCTGAGTCCTCTATTGGTGCAGTGATGTAGCTAGGCAGTATTCTCTGCCACCTATCATTCCCCTCAATGTATCCAAGACATCTTTAGAGTTTCCCAGGGCTGTTCATAACTAATATAAAATTTTCAATTCTTTCTAGAAAATACTCTCAGACACACTTTTTACTGGCCACTTGGAAAACCTGATCACAATACAAAAGTATCTGATAGCTTCTTTTATGAATTTTTCTTTGATAATTTTTTAACAAATTAACTCATAAGTTATGTACATTTATGCTTAGAAGTTAATTCTGGTTTTTTTAATTCTTATAACCCATTTTAAAGGCTGTGTTTTACCTTATCTTTATAATTAAGGTCTTCAATCAATCCCTTTTCTGGAAACTACTATAGTTTCCCAGAGAAAGCAATAGTTGTTTAGCAAAAACCTCTGTCCATGAGGACATTTGAATTAATAAGTGCCTGAGTGTTTTATTTTGCTGAGAGAGAAAAAAAAAAATCGGGACTAGGAACCAAAACTTAGTTCCATCCAATTAGGATCCTTCCATGACAGCACAAAACCCTTAAAATTTGTGAGACAATTTCAAGATTTCTTCTTCCACGATACCGAAGTCTGACAATATATGCTGTACATGATCAAATACACAATAATGAATATGTGACTTATGTTTAATACTAGATAGGAATTTTAACATACATGTTCTTTCTTCCAAATTCCAAAAGCTTATTCCACTTTCCCCCTTCTCTCCCCTAGCCATCCCCTGCGTAAATATACAAATCTTAGAAATATTGGAGAGAAAAAAATGGGAATAAGTAGGAAGAAATGCATTTTGT
Organism: Homo sapiens; assembly: GCF_000001405.40. NCBI lineage: Eukaryota > Metazoa > Chordata > Mammalia > Primates > Hominidae > Homo > Homo sapiens. Next base: position 70,726,887 of record NC_000012.12, on the reverse strand, counting down.
AAATGCAGCCAGGCGTGGTGGCTCATGCCTGTAATCCCAGCACTCTGGGAGGTCGAGGCTGGTGAATCACTTGAGGCCAGGTGTTCAAGACCTTTTAGCAGAGACATGGTGTAATCTCATCTCTACTAAAAATACAAAAATAAGCCTGGCATAATGGCATACACCTGTAATCCCAGCTACTTGGGAGGCTGAGATGTAAGAATCGTTTGAACTCAGGAGGTGGAGGTTGCAGTGAGCTATGATCACGCCACTGCACTCCAGCCTAGGTGACAGAGTGAGACTCTGTCTCAAAAAAAAAAAAAAAAATTAAATGCAGACTATCCCATGATGATACTGATAACAGATAACATTTATCAAGCACTTACTACATTCCAGGCACTGTTATAAATACTTTACATGTATAACTCATAAGAGTCAAAACTACCCTATCATTATTTTCCCCATTTTACAGAAAGGAAAACCATGGCTGCAGGAGGTTATGTCACTTGCTCAAGGGCATCCAATTGGCCATGAGAGGTGTGCAATAAATATAGAATACAGGTGGCCTGGCTCCAGACCCCAAATTGTCAACCACTGTACATACATTTCTAGGGCCTTAAATTTCTACCCAAATTTTAAGCCTGATTTTGCCCTAAAAACTGGGCATATGATAGGTTTTTGTTGCATTAAATTAGATTTTTTGTATAATTTTCTTGAATTAAGTTGACTAAAATATATACATATGTATATATTTTACAAGTGTAATGTAAAATGTTTTGCAAAAACATAAAGCAGACTGCAAAAAAAAAAAGCATCATTCTTTACTGGGTTTTAGCTTGGATCTTCTGGGTAATGTCATACAAAGAAGATGTTGAAAAATATCACTTGTGATCATCATCTATCTATGATGTGTACATTATAAGCAATAGTATTGACAATGATTTTACTATTTAGGGTTCAACAGGCGCAGTAATGTCCCTCCTTAGCGAAGAGAGACACATCATTGAATTTACCTTCAACCAGGGCTGTGCATTCATCCTAGAATTTGACAGAGTCTAGAAATATTGGCCTGTATGTCTCAGAGAGCCAGATATTTAACTCTTTGACGTTTAAAATTTTGTAACACTTGGTAAAGGTAAAAAATAAATAGACTAAGGGATGTTTTACCATTACTCTAAAGAAATAACCAATTCTAATTTTTTTTAATTCTTTTCCCCCATTTTCTCTGTTCTATTAAAACCATTTGTACCACAAGGACAATTGTCAGGGTACAACAACTCACCTAAGTTGGCTCTCGGTACTTTTTCCCCCTAATAATCAGTCCCCAAATCAATAACTGGAGAATCTGAATTTTTCCATGTGCTAAATTCTTTGCTGACAGAAGTACAAGAACTTAATACATTGGGGAGGTGGGGGGACTTCTATTTCCTGGCTAAAATATAGCTGCTTTTCCTAGATTTGGTGGATAATTTTATTCTATTGTGCTTTATTTATTCTTAGTAGAACTTGTGGGATTGTTTTCAGGATAATGTCAGGGTAATTGTTCACAATTGAGCTATGGGCCAACCCAAGGGCATTCTCCTGAGAATAGTTTGGCTAAAACATACAAAAATCTCTCCTCTTATCAAAAATATTTCTTCTTAAACATAAAGATAAGTGAGGAAAATTTTGACATGAGATAAAAATAACAAAATCAGTCAGTGACTGAATGTCTCGTATGCTCTTAGTACATAGCTAGATGGCAAATAAATCATGTCTCCCAGCCCTGTCTCTTCATGCTTATTTTATAATAGGAGGATATAATATAAGATGCCCTTCTCATACCGGGGCAGGGTGCACTCAACACCCTTTCTTTCTCAGGAAGGTGGAATAGGCCATGAGGCAGTACAAAATATTGACGAATATGAGATTTCAATATTTCTCCAGCCCTTATTAATATTTTTAATTTTAAATGAACTGTGCAAATAACACATCTTATAGAAATTTTGAAAGCATATTTAAGCAAAAACAAAAATAAAGATTATTTCCTAGCCAGTTGCACCACCAAAATAGCCACCATTAACATTATATAAATATATATATGTGTGTGTGTGTGTATATATATATATCCAGACTTACATACACATACATATATATACACACACTACACCTCTAGTAACTGCTAATAATAGTAACAGCAATGATAGCAATTGCAGCAGGAGCACGCACCAACACTACTTGTAACAGTAGCAGTAGCAGTGGTAACTACCAATAGGGGTCAGTAATAGCAACAACCTGAGAATATATCACTACAATGGCCAGAAACACAGAGGAAGCTGCAACAAGGGTAGCAGTAGCACTGAAGGTGTCTTGGTAGCAGAAACAGCAGCAATAGCAGTGCAGTAGTAATAAAAAACATTAATAATACCAGTTAAGAGTTACACTGTTGCATTTATTACGTTATCAAGCCCTGTTGTGTTTCACACATATTATCTCAATTAAGCCTCATAGAATTCCAGTGAAGCACGTGCACAAGTTGTATCCCCATTTTACAGATGAGAAAACTGGGCACATACAGGTTAAGTTGCCCAAGGTGACACAGTCTTAAAGGGTAGAACCTGAATTTGAACCCCCGGCAGTCTGGCTCCATAATCCACTCTTAACCACTATACTGGTAGTGACAGCAGAAGTAGCATGAATTCTAAAATTCAGTATGAGGAGTATTTTGCAATTTATATACACTTATAAAATGAATGAATACATTTTGGAAGTGATTCTGAAATTGGAAGAATAGAATGAAAGGATATGAAGTAACTTAAAAAACCTCTTATAACCAAAATGGTCATTTTTTACAACTTCCAACTTAGACTATCAAAGAAAGCATATTTTGCAAACATTTTGCTCTCCTATTTCATTCTTCCTCAAAAATCTGTATCTTTTTTTGTGTGTTTGTCTAATTTTGGGGAGTCTCTCACTGTGAATTTTTAAAAATAAAGAGCAAATTGCCATGCTCCTTAATTTATAGACATGCCTCTACATATTTAGGTGCTTAACAAGTTTCTGTAAATAAATGAATAAAGCAATAAAAAATAAAACTTCAGATTCACACTAAAAGCAAATAAAATTGAGTTGGGCCATGCACATACCACTCCAATAAGAATGTTATTTAATGCTAATGCAAAAGCAGCTAAGGAAATAAGAAAAATCTTTAAAAAAAACAAAAAGGTAAATTTGTTGATGCTTTGGTTGGTTCTCTTTTGCTTCCTATAATCCCACATTTTGAAAGTTTTATTTGCAACCTATATTTGTAATATTTAATCTGTGTGTACACTTGAGACTGTCCTTATAAAAAGGATTCTTTCTGCCTCTTAAAAGCTATAATTCAAGATAAAGTGAAAACCAAGTCGCTATAATGCATAAATAAGATTTTATCTTTGGAAAAATGAGAAAATATTGAGTCCTGGGCAAAATTTATGACCTCTAACATAAATTTGAATTGTGTCCTTTTTAATGATTTCAGATTGCCAGAAGTGGCAAAATTAGAAAAATTAAGTTTACATACAAAATAGCTTAAAAGGGGAAAAAAAAAAGCCCTCAAAAAGTTCTCTTGGAACTTTTCTGCTTAGGGTTGCAAGCTGAAATTTTGGTGATGTGCCTTGATTTAATTTCCAAGTCTCTTATCTGTAGTTTATTCTTGTTACTGCAGTTGCTACTGGTTTTTAACTTGTACACAGGAAACCAGTGCCAATCAATTTTGTTCCCAAGGTGACAGGAAACCCTGGTTGGTCAGATGTTGATTGTGCTTGCTGTTCATGCTCCACCCATCATATTTTCTTCCCTTTTGGCTGAACTTAAGACAAATTAATCAGTGGTCGACATCTGGCAGACAGTTTTGGTGTCTTCTCAGTGATTTGTTGACCCGCACATCTAAACAGTAAAAACTCAGTGCGTAAAACTTGTAGGCACTAAATATAAATGCTGCCAAGAATCTTTTTCAGGGACTTGGGTGGAAGGCCCATCTTTTGGCTTTTTACTTGAAAATGTGAATTTTCTTGAGTAATGAAACATCTGTTCAATAAATATCTCACCTTCTTTATGACGGCGGGTGGCTTACCTCACTCTATTGTAAATTCCAGATATGAACTGTGAAACAGGGGGCAAGGAAGGGCTCAGAGAATGTTAAGCTTTTTAACAGGCCTCTGCTGCTTGTAATTAATCTTTAGCCACCTGCATATTTTCTTCATAATGAGTCTTATCCCAAATAAACATATCCCTCGTCACTGAACACTCTGAGAGAAAATGTTGGTACCCAGATTCTGGCAAATAAGATAACTCATAAATAAAAGCTAAGCACAAAGTCAAGCCGGATGACCTCCGCGTCCCTCCAAGTCAAGCTTCTTTGGAGTCTCCTCTTTCAAACTCATGGTTTATGACTCTTAAAAAAGAAAAATTACAAACTGTTTACTAGCCTTGCGAACTCTTTTCAGAAATCATTTGTTTTAACGAGAGTGGTACTAAAATATAGGTCTAATTTTATCAGGTCTAGTGACAGGAGAGATCATGAGAAACATACAAGAAATGTTATCTCTATATAGGAAGATGAAGGAAGGTAACAATGCAGGAAGGTGGGATTTAGATAAACCTAAAAAGGGCAGGTATGTTGGACCGGATAGGCTTTTCCTGTTCCTAAAATGTCTTGTGCTCTTACACAGGAAAAGCATTCTTATTCACCCGAGGCATTTGCAAGTCCTAGGCACAAGACCTAAAAGGACCCTGGGTTCTGGTAGTAAGAAAGCAGGAAAGGAGTGGGTGGGAAAGGAAGCGTCCACGGGGGGCGCATAGCCGGGACAGATTTTTCAAAGGGTAAAAAAGCCTTTAGCCATTTTTCATCTATGCCTCCCTCATTTTGAAAACAAACTCTGCTAGTTTGTTCTTATTTCTTAATACAATACTTCCCATGCCAAAATTTGGATACATTTTAAATTGGGGTCAATTTGGGCTGTAGAGTCTCTAATGAATTGGTCAGCATGTTCATGCTCTTTGAGAGTCTGCTGCCCTCACTGACCTGCCAGTTCCAATAATCATCCAACTATCCTCCCAACGATTCCTTTCCTGGATATATTAGCAGGGCGAATTTCAATCCACTTTGTTTATTTGTTCACTACGGTATCTTCCATAGAAAAGCTAGGCCTGTGAAATAAAGATTAAACGGGCTAGAAAAGTTTGCGGTGTTATGAATCCTATACTGTGCAGAATTCATAATTCCAGTTTTGCCTAGTAGAAAAAAGCCCAAGATCATAAATATTTCTAAGCAGTCAGGGAAACTGCATTTGCCAAGGCCCTATAAGAAAGCTGATGGTGAACCCAAACAGAATCCTGCCAAATACCTAAAATGTGTTGAAATATATTTTATAATTCCTCCCCCACAATAGTCCACCTTTTGATTTGTGTGATAATCTATTTGGACAGGAGCTATCCACCGTGTGCCTGCTCTTCTTTCCACCTGCTGTTCCATCAGCCGAGGAAAGGGTTGTGCCCAAGGGAGGTGGCTGTCCATTGTTATTCACAATAGCGGTGCCCCTCATGAAATGCTCTGCCAGGATAGATAAATTACCTATTCTTAGACAGAAGTTTTATATATGTGCAATGTTGACTGACTCAGACTCTAATCAAAACTGTTCTCTTGGTTCTCCTCAGTATATTTCTAACTCCTCGGTATATTTCTAACCTATTTCTAACTGGAGAACTTTAGGATATTTGGCAGTACCATGTGTAAGTAAGAGCTTTTGCAGGACTTCCAAGCAAGAGAAGTAACAATGGGTATATGCCTGCAACACATTTCTTTTAGGGGAATATGGCACGAGTGTTTTTGTGGATTATCTGGTTTATATAAGATATGCATTTTAAATAACTAAACCTGTGTTGACATGCTTATACTAGAAAGCAGTGCTGTTAAGGAGCACCTCTATATAGGCAAACCCTATTCAGTGAAGAACCAAATCTGAGCTTTAATCTGAAACCAAATAGAAAAAGTTATTGGAGTCGAAGATGAGGGAGTGGGGTGAAATAAGATTATGTATCAAGCATATTCAAATATAGGATAATATCCTAGGGCCTAGTGGTAGTACCAATAAGAAAAATGTACCTGAGCCAGGTGTGGTGGCTCACGCCTGTAAGTCCTAGCAATTTGGGAGGCCAAGCCTGGGGGATCACTTGAGACCAGTTCAAGACCAGCCTGGGCAACATGGAGAAACCCTGTCTCTACTAAAAATACAAAAATTAGCCAGCTACTCTGGAGACTGAGGCAGGAGAATCGCTTGAACCCGGGAGTTGGAGGTTGCAGTGAGCTGAGGTCATGCAACTGCACTCCAGCCTGGGCGACAGAGCAAGACCCTGTCTCAAAAAAAAAAAAAAAAAAAATTACCAGGGTAACAGAGCAATACCTCTACATAGAGAGGAAAAAACTGGAAAAGACTTGGTAAGTCTATGCCTATACCTAACATTTGTGGAGCAGTTGCTATATGCCAGGTACTGTACAAGATGCATCACAGATATATAAAATCATTTCCTCCTCATATCCACCTCAGGTGGGTAAATTATATCATCTCAAATTTAATGATAAGGAAACGGAGACACAGGCATTCAAGCACATTTCCATGGTCGCAGAGTACATTACTGCAGAGATAGGATTCGAGCCCAGGTAATGTGCCCCCAGATCTCACGCTTGTTTCTATTTCCTGCTTCCCCTAATGACTAAGGCACCCGAGGATTTTTCTTTTTCCACCTTCTCCATATTCATAATTAGACTATATTAAATTTTTTCAGTGGAGGAATGGAAGCATTTTAAAATAAAATAATCTCTTCAGCCTAACACAGACCAATTCCACTTTGAGAAGAGCGATGGTTGCGCCTTGCACCCTCCAGGTGGCGCTTGTGCGCCACTTACAGACAGGAGAGGTTTCAGGGTCGTCGGCAGGGTGGGCTCTTGGTTTTGTTCAAAGGACATTTGAGCATTGTTTCTCTGTCCTCAACAATCCTACTTGAGACACTTGTTGCCATTGTAAGATTTAAAGGCAAATCAGATAAACAAAGAAAGGGCCACGTACCAATCCTAAAGCTGACGTGGAGCAGCCGAAGCCTCCCTTCGCAGAGGTCTGTTAATGGCATCCAGAGAAGACGCGCAGTCACTGTGGGTTCAGACTGCAGATGCTCTTAGCAGGGGTTTCCAGCTGGGCGCCCGTGGCCCTCTGGAAGGTTCTCATTTGGTATCCATCGGAAGGCCTTTTATCGCTTGTTAGTAATGATACAGATTTGTTGTAGAGGCAAGCAATTCTTTCAGTATTTAAGCCTTTGCAATTTTCATTATTTTTTTAAAAAAATGATTTTTTTTTTTGCCCTTTTGCTCCCCTTCCTAACAAAGGAAATTGTTAGGAACTATATTACTAATGTAATTTAGTCAAGGGGTTGTCAAGGAGTTCCATTAGGATTTGGATTGAAAAGGGATTTCTAGGATAAAGCACCGTTTTGCTGTAGATATGATCTTCTGGAAAGGATGGGGCCGGGCAGCCTCGTGAAGTTTGCATTCGTGAACTTTGGGTTCCCGTAATCCTACGGCATGCCTTATCGAGGACAGCCTAGGAGCGAATTGGCAGTAGGTTAGAAAGCATGATTAGAAGAGGGAAAGCTGAAATGGCCTTCATGTCGGCTGTTTTCCTCCACAGGATACTGGGTGATTCCTGTCCTAACCAGATACTGATTACTTAAAGCTTAGCCCGAGAGTTCTTGTCAAAAATGATTTCCGTAGCGTATTTTGACTTGCTGAGGTCTGAAGAACTTTGGGAATTTGTTAGGTGTGGATCTGAACTCCAGGAACCGGTCAGGAGTATTCAGTAAATGAACTCTATCCGTTTGAACAGAATGTCTTAAGCACCTCGTTTTTATCTCATTCACACTTCTCCGAATGTCCTCATCTGACATGGAGAATTATTGGTGGAAAATGTGCGTATTGATAATTCAGACATACGAAAGCAAAAAAGTCCAAAGGACTTATCTTCAAATTGTTTTACACAATATTTCAAGCATGTGCAAAATGGTATAAATATGTTTCAATCTGTAAATTTATGTATTCTTCTAGTATTTCCCCATTATAATTGAATCCTTGTTTTGTAAACATTTCACCTCATCTACAATATACACACTCAAAATATTTAAATTGTTGAAAACTATTTTTAGCATGAATACATTTTCTTCACATAAAATACAAAGGATTAATGTAACATCTAACTCTTTAAAACATTCCACCAAATATTCAACCCTGAATGGTAAGACACAAAAAAGGTGTGTATTTGTGTTTAAAACAGTGGACCGGCCAGGCATAGTGGCTCACACCTGTAATCCCAGCATTTTGGGAGGCTAGGCAGGCGGATCACGAGGTCAGGAGTTTGAGACCAGCCCAGCCATCATGGTGAAACCCCGTCTCTACTAAAAATACAAAAAATTAGCTGAGCATGGTGGCACACGCCTGTAATCCCAGCTACTCGGGAGGCTGAGGCAGGAGAATCGCTTGAACCCAGGAGGCAGCGATTGCAGTGAGCTGAGATCGTGCTATTGCACTCCAACCTCAGCAGCAGAGCAAGACTCCATCTCAAGAAAAAAAAAAAACAGTGGACCATGAGGTATTTATTTTAAATCTCTCTTAGAAGTATAGCTTCCAGTGTTAAATCTATACAATACTTTGTTGTCTCAAATGTTCGGCAGACAAGAAGCAATTCCAATTCTATAAAAAATATAACATTTAAATCAAAGTAATGGGTTTTCTAAAAGTCATTTTATCCTGATTCAGACAGTTAGTATTTGAGAGACTTTTCAAATACCATGGCTGTATAGTATTTTTAAAAAGAAGATTGTATTTTTCTTTTCTTAGCATAGATGCCTATTCATGCCAGAAATCAATAAGCATTATTACAGGAAAATTACTGACCAATTATCAGGTTTTATATGATAATTGTTTAATATGTAATAAAAGCAAATACTATTTTTTTTCCTTTGGAATCAATGCAAAACATTATGATAAACAGAAGAAATAATTCATTTCTAGTCAGTTTGGAAACTCCTTTGTATTTCATTCTTATTTTCCTTTTCACACCTACAAATCCCTGCCATGCACACAGGAAATGCCCGGATGCATGGAAGAAATTAAAATTAGGTCAATTGTGTTCCATCTTGTTAGGTTAGCCAGGCATTCTGTAGATATGGGACATGTTCTGTATTTAACAATTTTGTCCTGTGTCTTGTATTGACTTTGTCAGGATGTGCTGCATGTCCTGTACTAAGCATTTTTTCATTAAATTACAAAAATGTGATAGAGCTATTTTTCAAAATCTAACTGGGGCGAGTCTTGTGCTTGTGTTTGCTCAATTTGGTGACCCTATCCCTTGTAATCCTTTGTTAGAGTCTTTCAGTACTTAGACTCATTTGTGTATTTCTTGAGTTCATTTTCATCAGAAATGATCATTTTCAGAATGAAATGTCACTGGTATAGCTTAGGACAGCTTAATATGCTAAGATGACAGAGTTAGCTGGTATCAGAAGTTATTCTCACCTAACACTCTCTCTTTATTTGAAAAGAATGTTAGTGCTCAATGTTTTTAAAGATTTTCTGTGTTCATTATTATGTCATTCACAGAAACATATATTGGAGATATAATAAAAATGTCATTATTGAGTATCAGAAATTAAGAGTTGTCCAGATAAATATTATGATTTTTATATTAAAAGATCTCTGATGAAAAGAAATAATGAATTAACTCATAAAACAATACCTGAGGAAGAATAGTATGTTAGAGAAACAAAGAATATTCTTGTAGCCGTTGTTTAAAAGTCTGTTTTTACATATTCTTCACTGCCATCTGCCTGAGAGAAATGTTGAATATAGTAAGTTTAGAACATTTTAATTTTGTCTTTATGGTTATAGTAGTGATTTGGATGATATATTCTTGCAGTGAGAACTTAATGATTACCAGTTGCATATCTATAGGGAAGACTGAAGTGTCTTCTGTGATACACAAAATGATTTTATTTTATGGGACAGGGACTTGTTCTGTCCCCAGGCTAGAGTGCAGTGGCACAATTATAGCTCACTGCAGCCTTGAACTCCTGGGCTCAAGTGATCCTTCCTGCCTCAGCCTTCCAAGTAGCTGGTATTACAGCCATGAGCCACCACGCCCAGCAAAATGCTATTTTAAATAATCTTTGATGAATAGTACTTGTAGCTGATATGGTAGATACCATAGGTCCTAGGTGCTTACTGTCTTGTATATCCAAAGTGGCTGAAAAAAGTTACCATTACCTATGTAAGTCTAGATAATTGAGAGAGTGGTCTCAAAGTGGGGCATGTGCATCCCAAGAAATGTGTAAAATGATCCATTAGGGTGTAAAACATATATATTACAAAAAAAGTACATTTATCTTGCCCTTTCCTACTTCAAATTTTGTAAATATTTCATAATTTGCATAATACATAAGTATAATAGTACATGTATATAATTTACAAATACATAAATTTCATTAGAGGCAAACTTTTTTTTTTTTTTTACTTAGAAGACAGACAATAGAAAAAAATTGAAAATTATTAACAATTCTACCCAAAAATGGGAGATAAAGTTAGAGTACATATATAGTGGACCCAATCTGAGTGTTTTCTAGCATGTCTAGAATTCCAGTATTTTAATGATTTTATCCTGTTATAAACACTTAGAAGCTGATAGATAAAAGAGGTAAAGAGGCTGCTTTATGTAAGGTTGCGGGAAGTCAGGGACCCCAAACGGAGGGACCGGCTGAAGCCTTGGCAGAAGAACCTGGATTGTGAAGATTTCATGGACATTTATTAGTCCCCCAAATTAATACTTTTATAATTTCTTATGCCTGTCTTTACTGCAATCTCTAAACATAAATTGTAAAGATTTCATGGACACTTATCACTTCCCCAATCAATACCCTTGTGATTTCCTATGCCTGTCTTTACTTTAATCTCTTAATCCTGTCAGCTGAGAAGGATGTATGTCGCCTCAGGACCCTATGATAATTGCATTAACTGCACAAATTGTAGAGTACCTGTGTTTGAACAATATGAAATCTGGGCACCTTGAAGAAAGAACAGGAAAACAGCAATGTTCAGGGAACAAGACAGAGAACCTTAAACTCTGACCACCAGTGAGCCGGGCGGAGCAGAGCCATATTTCTCTTCTTTCAAAAGCAAATGGGAGAAATATCGCTGAATTCTTTTTCTCAGCAAGGAACATCCCTGGGAAAGAGAATACGCGCCTGGGGGTGGGTCTCTGAACTGGCCCCCCTGGGCGTGGCCATCTGTTATGGTCTGTAGACTGTAGGGGTGAAATAGACCCCAGTCTTGCATAGCGCTCCCAGGCTTATTGGGAAGAAGAAATTCCCACCTAATAAATTTTGGTCAGACCGGTTGCTCTCAAAACCCTGTCTCCTGATAAGATGTTATCAATGACAATGGTGCCGGAAACTTCATTAGCAATTTTAACTTTGCCCCGGTCCTGTAGTCCTGTGGTCTCGTGATTTCACCCTGCCTCCATTTGCCTTGTGATATTCTATTACCTTGTGAAGTACTTGATGTCTGTGACCCATACCCTGTTCGTATACTCCCTCCCCTTTTGAAACTCCCTAATAAAAACTTGCTGGTTTTACGGCTTGTGGGGCATCACAGAACCTACTGACATGTGATATCTCCCCCGGACGCCCAGCTTTAAAATTTCTCTCTTTTGTACTCTGTCCCTTTATTTCTCAAACCAGCCGATGCTTAGGGAAAATAGAAAAGAACCTACATGACTATCGGGGCAGGTTCCCTGATATCGTAATGTCTTAAATAACAAAAAAAAAATTATTTTGGCATACTCAATATATAGAAGAAACTTTTTTTGGAGACAGGGTCTCACTCTGTCACCAAGGCTGGAGTGCAGTAGCGTGATCACGGCTCACTGTAGCCTCAACCTCCCTAGGCTCCAGCGATCTTCCCACTCAGCCTCCCAGGTGGCTGGAACTACAGGAACACACCACCATGCCCAGCGAATTTTTGTATTTTTTGTAGAGATGGGCTTTTGCCATGTTCCCTTGGCTGGTCTCAAACTCCTGGGCTCATGCAATCTGCCCGCCTCAGCCTCCCAAAGTGCTGGGAGTAAAGGTGAGAGCCACTGCACCTGGTCTATAGGAGAAACTTATATTATGTTCGTACAGATACATTTGCATGAATAAACAAATATACAGTAGAAGACTTTCCATGGCAACATTGTTGGTAATAGCAAAAAGAATTGGAAATAAATATCTATTAACATATATATATAATTGTGCATTTAATTATGAAATCCACATTGTTGTTCTAATAAGACAAATTTTCCAATATATAATGTAAAGTAGGGAAAAAGTTGCAAAACTATATGAAATTTTATGATCCAATTTATATTTGTCTTTGTAAGTGCGTGGGCAATTGAAAGAAGGGTACATAACCCAAATTGTGGTGAGCTGTGAGAAGCAGAGCCAGAAAATCAGGAGGCGGGAAGAACTAGGGGAAGAGGGCTTTCTTTTTCATTTGCTTCCTTCTGCATTATTTGAAAACTTTAGTATAAGTATGTATTAATTTTATAATTAAATTAACATTTTAATAATTAAAACAAGATATTGTTTTCTTTGAATTAATAGATATTTATATCATAGATATGTCTATTCAATATAAAATGAAGTGAGACTAGAACAGTAACCACATTATTTGAATAATAATGTAGGCAGACACAGTCATGAAGACCACAGAGATACCTTCAGGTATCTACTTCAGAATAACTTAGTGCCAAAACTTCACTTTTAATCTATGCTGTGTCTCCATAACTGATGGGATAAGACCTACTACATTAGGAGGGTTGCTCTGCTTCACTCCGTCTTCCAATGTAAATGTTGCTCTCATCCAAAACACGCTCAGAGAAACACCCACAATAAGGTTTGACCAAATACCCAGGCAAACCATGGCCCACTCAACTTGACATATAAAATTAATCATCACAAATACTATCAGAAAGTGAAAAGACAATTCATAGAATGGGAAGGCATATATGTAATAAGGGTCTAGTGTCCAGAATATATACATAATTTTACAACGCAAAATAAAAAGACAACCCAAATTAAAAATGGGCCAAGGATTTCATTAGGCATTTATCCACAGAATATATATAAATGTCCAGTAAGCCAAAGAAAACATGCTCAACATTGTCAGTCATTAGGGAAATGTAACCAAAGCCACAATGAGATACACTTCACACCTACTAGGATGGCTATTATTAAAAAAAAAAAAAGGCAGCAGCAAGTATTAGCAAGAATGTGGAGAAATTGGAAATCTCAGACATTGCAGATGGAAACATAAAATGGTACAGCCACTTTGGAAAAGAATTTGGTAGTTTCTCAAAAAGTTAAATGTAGTTACCATATAACCCAGAAATTCCATTCCTAGGTGTATACCCAAAAGAAATGAAAACATATGTTCATGCAAAACTTAAACACAAATGTTCGTAGCAAAATAATTCATACTAGCCAAAAGTAGAAACAACCCAAATGTCTATCAACTGATGAATGAATACACAAAATGTGGGTGTATCCATACAATGGACTATATTGTGCCATGAAAAGGAATGTAGTACTGATAGATGCTACAACATGGATGAACCGTGAAAACATTTATGCTACGTAAAAGAAGTCAGACAAGACACAAGAGGCCATACGTTGTATGATTCCATTTATACGAAATGTCCAAAGCAGGTAAATCTACAGACACAGCATGTATATTAGTGGTTTCTAGAGCCTGGAGAGAGAGAGAAATACAGAGTAACTGCCAGTGAGCAGGGAGAATTTTTTTGGGGGGAGTGAGGAAAATGCTTTAAAATTTATTGTAGTGATGCTTATACAACTAAGTGACTATAATAAAAACCATTGAATTTTACACTTTGGAAATGTGAATTTTATTGTACATAAGTTGATCTCAATAAAAAAGAGGAGGGAGTATATATAACTTTAGTTTTCTATCATAAATATTACTCATTAATATTATATAAAATTGGTTGGGAATTGCTTCTGGGCATTTTTTCATTTTGTTTGATTTGGTTAAAGCATGCTAATTTAGAACATTTTTATTTCTGGAAAAGCAAAGGGATATATTTCTTATAGCAAGCATAAAAACGTCCTTTACGTGACAAATTTCAGTTCACTCTAAAATGTGTATATTTTGCATTCCAGAAATACTTATTTTTTACCAGTCTATCTGCTCCTTGGACATAATATAGATAATAAAACACAGTATCAAAAATAAAAACTCTTTACTTCATCTGGTATGCCTAATATCTGCACTTGAGTGAATGGCTATTTGATTTTCAGGGTTATCTTGCAATTATTTTATCTGACACTGGATGAGGAAGGACCCAGAAAAAAATGAATTATTATGAATGGCATCAAATCAACAAATCCCAGTTACTTATGGGGAGAGGTTTATTTTAACTATTGGCAACTGTGTTAAATAATTTATATTTAGGCATTCATCCATGTACTAGGCATCACCGATAACATGATTGTGTATTTATACTGGCAAGAATCTGATCACGGTGATCAAATCAAGTGCATTCTCTTCATTTAATTCTAACACAGCCCTTCCAGGTAATTGGCGCCTTCCTTCCTTCCACCTGAAGACTGATGATACTTTAAATATAATCTGTGGCCACAGAGTAACCCAGCAAAGTCATTGACTCTCCACTGGCCAAAAAGAAGCCACTCCCTACTCTGAAATTCCAAGGTGAAAGGCCAGTGACTTGTAGGGAGCAAAGGTCATCCTGGTTTATTTGCAAAGCACCTAACTGACCAAAGCCCACGATTACATGGCGGGTGGTACACTTTTAAATGAACACTGAACAAACACAGAGATGTATATTTAAATAACTTACTGTTCTTGGGTAAACATTTGGAGAAACTCTGGAGAGAGTAGATTTTCATAATTTTGATTGAGAGTTCATTTTAGGTAAAGGCAGACCTTGATGTACCCTGCTTAATGACTTAAGATATCTGCTTTTTATATCAAATGACTGAGATGGAATCTAGAATCTTTCAGATAGATATTAAAGGGTACTTTTAAAAATACATAATCCTTGGCATAAATGTAAAAATTTTCTTTGTGAATACTTAACTTTATAAATGTTTCTTTCCAATGACTAAAAACAAATTTAAGGATTTGGAATTAAAATAAAGGGCTCTTTTTTGACTTCTATGTTAAGTTCAGGGGTACATGTGCAGGTTTGTTACGTAGATAAACTTGTGTCATGGGGGTTTGTTGTATACATTATTTCATCACCCAGGTTAATACCTACTACCCCTTAGTTATCCTACTACCCCTAAATATAAATAAATATACTAAATATAAATATACTAAATAATCCTACTACCCCTTAGTTATTTTTCCTGATCCTCTTCCTCCTCCCACTCTCTACCCTCCAATAGGCTCCAGTGTGTGTTTTTCCCCTCTACATATCCATGTGTTCTCATCATTTAGCACCCACTTATAAGGGAGAATATACAGTGTTTGATTTTCTGTTCCTGTGTTAGTTTGCTAAGGCTAATGGCCTCCAGACCCATCCATGTCCCTGCAAAGGACATAATCTCGTTCTTTTTTTATGGCTGCATAGTATTACATGGTGTATATGTAGCACATTTTCTTTATCCAGTCCATCATTACTGGGCATTTATGTTGATTCCGTGTCTTTGCTGTTGTGAATAGCGCTGCAATGAACATATGTGTGAATGTGTCTTTATAATAGAGCAATTTATATTCCTTTGGGTATATGGGATTGCTGGGTCGAATGATATTTCTGTCTATAGGTCTTTAAGGAATTGCCACCGTGTCTTTCACAATGGTTGAATTAATTTACACTCCCACCAACAGTGTATAAGCATTCCTTTTTCTCCACAACCTTGCCAGCATATGTCATTTTTTGACTTTTTAATAGTAGCCATTCTAACTGGTGTGAGAGGGTATCTCATTATGGTTTTGATTTGCGTTTCTCTAATTATCAGTGATGTTGAGATTTTTTTCATATGATTGTTGACTGCACCTATATCTTCTTTTGGGAAGTGTCTGTTCCTGTCCTTTGATCACCTTTTAATGAGATTTTTTTTCTTGTAAATTTGTTAAGGTTCCTTATAGATGCTGGATATTAGACCTTTGTCTGATGCAGAGTTGGCAAAAATTTTCCCCCATTCTGTAGGTTGTCTGTTATACTCTGTTGATAGTTTCTTTTGCTGTGCAGAAGCTCTTTGGTTTAATTAAATCCCATTTGTCAATTTTTCCTTTTGTTGAAATCATTTTTGACATCTTCATCATGAAATGCCTATGTCCTTGCCTATGGCTTGAATGGTATTGTCTGGATTTTCTTAAAGGATTTTTATAGTTTGGGTTTTTACATTTAAGCGTTTAAGCCATCTTGAGTTAATTTTTGTATATGATATAAGGAAGGAGTCCAGTTTTAATTTTCTGCATATGGCTAGTCAGTTCTCCCAGCACCATTTACTGAATAGGGAATACTTTCCCATTGCTTGTTTTTGTCAGATTTGTTGAAGATCAAATAGTTGTAGACGTGCAGCCTTATTTCTGGCATCTCTATTCTGTTCCATTGGTCTCCGTGTCTGTTTTTGTCCCAGTACTATGCTGTTTTGGTTACTGTAGCCCTGTAGTATAGTTTGAAGTCAGGTAGCATGATGCCTCCAGCTTTGTTCTTTTTGCTCAGGATTGTCTTGGCTATTTGGGCTCCTTTTTGGTTCCATATGAATTTTAAAATAGTTTTTCTAGTTCTGTGAATAGTCTTTCTCAAAAATTGTTGTAACAGTTAAATGAGATAATTCAGGTAAGCCATTTCTTACAAACTTGGCTTAATTAATATTAAGTGCCATCATTGAATCTATAAATCATTTTGGGTAGTATGGCCATTTTAATAATATTAATTCTTCCTATACATGAACGTGGAATGTTTTTCCATTTGTTTGTATCATCTCTGATTTACTTGAGCAGTGTTTTGCAGTTCTCCTTGTAGAAGTCTTTCATCTCCCTAGTTAGCTGTATTCCTAGGTATTTTATCCTTTTGGGGCAATTGTGAATGGGAGTTCATTCCTGATTTGCCTCTTGGCTTGACTGTTGTTGGTGTACAAGAATGCTAGTGATTTTTGCACATTGCACATTGATTTTGTATCCTGAAACTTTGCTGAAGTTGTTTATTCGCTTCAGAAGCTTCTGGGCTGAAACTCTGGGTTTTCTAGATATAGGATCATGTCATCTGCAAACAGGATCATGTCATCTGCAAACAGGGATAGTTTACTTCCTCTTTTCCTATTTGAATGCTCTTTATTTCTTCCTCTTGCCTGATTTCTCTGGCCAGGACATCCAATACTATGTTGACTACAAGTGGTGAAAGCATTCTTGTCTTGTGCTGATTTTCAAGGGGAATGCTTCCGGCTTTTGCCCATTCAAGTATGATGTTGACTGTGGGTTTGTCATATATGGCTCTTAGTATTTTGAGGTATGCTCCTTTAGTACCTAGTTTATTAAGAGTTTTTAACATGAATGGATGTTGAATTTTATTCTTTTCTGTATCTATTGAGATGGTCATGTGATTTTGTCTTTAGTTCTGCTTATGTGATGAATTACATTTATTGATTTGTATATGTTGAACCAACCTTGCATCCCAGGATAAAGCCTACTTGATCACAGTGGGTAAGCTTTTTGATGTGCTGCTGGATTTCGTTTGCCAGTATTTTATTGAGGATTAGTGTATCAATGTTCATCAAGGATACTGGCCAGAAGTTTTCTTTTTTTATTGAATCTCTGCCAGGTTTTGGTATCAGGACAATAGGTGTCATTTCTGGCCTTACAAATAAATGAATATATTTAATTTATTTGTAATGATCAGGATTAAAAGGGTTCTTTGGTAGTTGATTGCATAAAGAGACAGGAGGTTATTCATTGTATTGTGCTACTTAGAAAATGCCGTGTGTGTGTGTGTGTGTGTGTGTGTGTGTTTGTATTTGTATTTATATTTAAATCAGCTGAAATTCAAAGAAGACTTCTCATTTCACAAGGAATGGCTTAGTCATTGAGATTTATTAATTTTTTTAGCATCTTTTTCTTAAATAATTATATAAACTAGGAAAAATTAACTTAGGAACTAAAAATAGAACTACTATCATTTTGTTATTTTGTTGAAAGGGAAACAGCCTCCTCACCATGAATGACAGTCAAAACAATACCAAATGACAAAAAAAAAAGGAGTAAAAATTAATCATCCTTGGTTACAAAACAAAGCAGTACATTTTCTTCCTTTTTCTGAATAAAATTAACATAGGATGTAACTTTAGGATGTTAATGCTCAGACTTTATTGATGCTTAAACAAGATTCAAACTGAATCACAACTGTAACATTTACCTATGTAAGCTTGGCTTCTACACTCCAAATTTTCAGACTCCTGTTTAATATAGTCCCCCCAATTCCTGTATTTTCAGAGGACTGGAAAAACCGTCAAAGCACAGTAATTACATATAGCATCCCCCTAACCAATTCATTTGCAACTATTCATCCACGCAGATGCCAAAAGTGTTGCTCTCCATCTGTTCATGACTGGGTACAACAGGAGAACTCAAGTCAAAGTCTTTGGCCTCAATGTGTTCACACTTTACTGCAAATCATTTCTAGTGAATATGATATATATTGGATACATATTGGGAAAATTGCTAGGAAGTCTCAGAGGAAAGAGCCCCTGGCATTTGGAGGATTGAACCTGAAAGTGTTGGGGCAAGCACATTTGAGGCATAGAGAACAGAACTGCAGGTAGATTGTCTGCCTGGGACACAGGTCCGGATGAGAATGTGACAGGAGATGAGGATGGAGAAATACACAGTAGATAGATTAGGAAGCATCTTACGTCAAAAGGGTAGCTACTTGCAGGTTTTATCATATTTTCAGTGCTCAGATATTCCAGTGAAATCTGGAAAAAATCTACTGAACTAGGAGATTTTAGAGTTAGGAAGCCTTGCTAAGGAACAACTGCAAAGGTCTGAACCAAAGAGGAAGAGAGTTTGAGCTACATCAATATCAGCGAGCTCCAAGAGTCTGTCTTCATGCCTCTTCCACACTGCGAGTGCCCACTGACTTCTCCAAACTCAAGAGATTTTGAGTTAGTTTTTAAGACTTCTTGACTGAAAAGTAATTAGGGAAATGCACAAACATTGAAGTACAAGGATGTTCATTACAGTTTTGTTTATAATGGTGAAAAAATTGAAAATGACTCAATGTCCAAAAATAAAGTATTGGTTAAATAACTATGACACATCTCAATAATGGGATACTATCAAATGTTTGAAAACAGTGTTTAAAAAAATTTGAGGACATGAAAAGACATTCATGATATAGTTTTTTTAAAAAGTAAATCATATGCAATGGTTCTGTGCCTACTTCCTTTTTTTAAAAGTAAATCATAAAAGAATATATTGAATAAAAATCTAGATTTTTGTCATACATATAAGGACTTGAAGGACATACACAAAAAATGTTCTTAGCAGTTACTCTAAATATGGGTATTATGAAATTTGTAAAATCTCTATTTTTAGCTTTAGTTAACATGCATTATTTTTGAATCATGAAAACATTGTTAACTTTAAAGACATTAGGTATAAATGTTAAGGACTTGAAGTATGAAAAATAGTCCCAACTTAGACGACCATTGATTTTGCATGTGTGATACTGCTGCTAACTCTTAATCACTAACCAATTTTCTCAACTTTACCTCCCTCAAATGTTCATCAGTGTGTACTCATGTAGCTCCCACATAGCTGTGTAAATAGAGAGTGAAGCAAAAATCACCATGTTATTATTAATTATGATAATAATTCATATATGTTTATTATATCCCAGACATTAGGGTGGAAGTATTCACATATTCTTGCTTATTTATCTTTTATGGTGTGAGTCAATTTTGTGAGTTTTATTATTATTCCCATTTGCAGATTATGCAGTCTAAGGTCCAAGTTGCTTAAGCGAAATGCAGAACAATGATTGAACGCATTTTCCAAGGTCAATATTTCAAGAGTAATGTGACAAGTTCAATGTATCTGGTTCTTTTAAATGATTGTTTTGAATTTTTTTTGTAAAATAAGGGTGTAGTAAATTTTGCCTTGTCCTATACACATATAAAAGGTCAGACATCTTTTTATGAATTCAAAACTTTTATAGATTCAATCAAAAGGCATAGCAACATTCTACCTAGTGAGGTGTAGGTCCTTTCAGGTAGGAAAATGGATCATTTCCTACACTAAAAATGTTCTCTATGTTAAAAGATTTTCTTTTTACTTTAGGGTGAAATTCATATATCATCTTCCTGGGTTCATGCCTGGCATCTTTTATATTTATTATTATTTCTTCCCTTCAGGATTTCCTTTGGGAAATTTTATTATGAATGGTCACAATACCTACTCATTTATTTCAGTTCTCGAAATTGGTAACACTCCATTTATGTCACAATTTAACTTTCCTAGTGGTCCGTGTTTATTTCTGTTTTATCCTATCATCTTTCAAGTGATCCAGAAAGAGGGTTGGTACTATGTATAATTTACTGGAAGATAAAGAGATGGAAACAGCATAACATTATTAAATGCCATTAACCTCGGAACTTAAAAGTCATAGAATTGGGAGTTGCAAAAACTGCCTATGCCACTCAGTCCACACAAAGTAAAAGAATTCCATCTCTCCATTTCTCCACTTTTGTCTCCTTTGTTATTCAAATGAGCAAAAACTTGTTTTTTTTTTCCTTTTTCATTCTGTTTAAGTAGAGTTATTCTAGAAAACTATGTAGAAAAATTGTATGTGCAAAATTAAATAAGTTGTGGGTGAGAGGGTTTAAGGTCACCTTTTATGATCAAGCCAAGATTGTCAGATTCATGGCCACTGTAACACACAAGGATGAATAGTTGGACTAAAGGATTCAAGATCACATTTTCAGTTCTGAAGACAACATCAACATTAAAGTTCTTGCTTCTCACCACATAAGATTTGACGTGTACACTAATGAAGACAACTCCAGACAAATTATATATACTTTTCACAGAACCAAAAAAAAAAATCTCGGAAGTCAAATCTGTTTGCTTTCATTCTGTACTAAATTCTTCTTATAATCTTTAAAATCCATATTTTTCCGTTCTCATTTCAAGTATTTCAAGATAAGCAGCTGCCACCATTTCCCACTGAAACTTAATTTCATAATCCAACAGTTTCAAAAGTACATCTTCCGGGACTACAAGAAAAAATGATCATCTGTTTCATTTTGTCCTCTTCCATTTCCATTCTTTATTGGTTGCTAAATGAGGTATACTGCTTGAAGTCTCACTGTTCTCAGTGACCAAAGTACTGCAAAAAAAGTAGCATGTCTGAGAATTAGAGCCCGTAGACATGATACTAGAAATTTTAGCCCTTTCTTCCTAAATTCAGCTTCTAAAATCTAGCATTATGGTCCCCAACTACCGGGAAAATAAATGCCTGGTTTCTGAGTTATTCCAACACTCAGTTGTAATGTTACTGTATTTTTAGCTACGTTTTCTTCCCACCTCTAAGTCATTAGAAACTGATGTCATTAGAATTGAACAATTTTGACCCAAAGTTGTTTATATTCTCTTGCTGAAATGGATGTGTCGCCCTGGCCCATAATATTTATACATATTTTCCTTTTTAGTTAATTATAATTAGCATGCTGTTTATTGCATTCCTTTTACCTTTCCCTAAGAATTTGCTTTTTCCTTCAATTGTTTGCATTGGTATCTTTTGAATTTCCTCCCTCTTATTTATTTTTTGGCATAAATAATAATTGGTGCTGCAGCAGGAGCTTGATAAAGCTTTTTATTATGTTCCCTTTTGTCCAACAGCAATCATGAGGCATTAAAAAGGCTAAACAGTTTGCCCACAGTTCCAAGACAAAATAAAAGTAAAGCTTTCAGTAGAGTTCGTTTTCTTGCTTTCCACATTCCTTTTTTATTAAAGGTATAGTTCTCCTATTATTTATGTTGATTTTTTTTCTAAATTCTGTCAATTTTTTTATACGTCTTAATTAGAATTTTCCCATAAGTTTATATGTTTATCTTGTTTTTGAAATGTCTTTCTGACTGTAATATATAAATGGTTATTATTTAAGTCAGTTAGCATGAAAATGCTTCCACAGCTCTCTGCTTACCACAGAATCCTTAGAAAATTAACTCATTAAATCAAATAGACCTTAGACACGGGATGTCAAAGGCTTCTAATCTCCCAGGTTTAGGCAGCGTATACTGTGGGAAGTCAAAACAGAAATTAATACACCCTGATGATGTTCTGGATCCTCTTTTATCTGGCTTTTTTTTTCGTTATTTATGTATTTATTTATTTATTTATTTTTGACATGGGGTCTCACTCTGTCACCCAACCTGGAGTACGACAGTGGTGCAATCTTACCTCACTGCAGCCTCGAACTCCTGGGCTCAAGCAATCTTCCGGCCTCATCCTCCCGAATAGCTGAGACTACAGGCAAGCACCACAACACTTAGCTATTTTATTTTTTGTAGAGACAGGGTCTTGCTATGTTGCCCAAGCCAGTCTCAAACTCCTGGCCTCAAGTGATCCTCCTGCCTCAGTCTCCCAAAGTGCTGGGATTACAGATGTCAGCCAACATCCCTGGACTATTTTTGGGCTTTTTATAGTCTTATAGTGTCTATGACTGTTGCTTCTCTCTCATCTCTCTTACATAAGCCTGCTCCCCAATTTCAAAATACATTTTTATACAAGAGAACTCTAGCTCAAACTGCTTCTATGCTGTTCTTCAAAGTTGTATTAATTTATTCTCCTACACTTTTTTTCCTACCAGATTCTTTAACTCTAGACCAAAAACTCACCTATTAAACGTTTGCTTTCAAAGCCCAACTTAAATGACTTCTACCTCATGAATCTGCTCTGACCACTCCAGATGGAAGAGATCTCACCATCTATAGCACAAGCATCACTCCATTGACAGAGGGCAGACAATTTTGTCTCTTGAGGCTGAAAATTTGACTGAATGGCATGGTGATTTTAAAGGGCATAGGACTAGCCATCCCTTAAGCGGCCTCTCTCACCTTCATACTAAAATATCTATAAAGCTTGCAAAAGCTGAATTCTCACAAATGCCCTAAATATTAAGACCAATCGGCAAACTATTATCAGAATCCGTAAGGATTTTCTATCAATTTGAAGTCCAGAACTGAACTGAAAAACTTTAAAAACTACTTTCCCACTAAAAATAGATTAAATTCTTGGTCCATGAGTAGAACCATTCTTTGCTCTTCTTCAACTATTTGCCTCCTACTCAGAAGCACAGGAACCCTATCAACCACCACCAAAAACCAAATAAGAAAAAGTGGAGTGGGAAAAATATCCCTCTATTAGGTAGGCAGGATTTTATGAGCATCTAGAATAAATGCTATTCCCTAATCCCTAACCCAGTGATCCAAAAGAGTTAAGAAGAATAATAGGATGAGAAAAAGTTTTCAGAAACATACCCCCCAAAACATATAGGCATATCAATATTCATTTTTTAAAGCCAGATGTGAGGGCAAATATAAAATTAACAGGAAAGAAAGTAATATTGGTAACATTTATAGTGAAGATATGACTAAATCCCTTCAAATAACACAATGGCTGCAATGTACAAGGTAAAAACTGTTAGAAGGAAAAATAACAAGCATAATTATTGTGGAAGACTCACATACATATCTCAGGCTTTGACAAATCCAGTAGAAAAAAAAAAAGGAAGGAAAGAATAGGTTGGAATAAAGTAATATCTTCAATAAAATAATGGTATAATAAATAAGGTGATATATATGTATATATGTGCAGATAGATACTTATGAACATATACAGATAATCAAACTAGATGCCAGCAAAACATCTGTGAAATATTTAGAAAATGATGTAGTGTTTATCTCGAAAAAAAATCAAGTAGTTTCAACCATTAAAAGGCCAGCCATTCTCTAATTTCCACAACTATAACTAGAAATTATAAGGAAAATAAATGTCTAAACTTACAGATATCCATCAAATTAAAGTAGAAATTAAAATCTCAATTACAAACCATTTAGAAATTAACAAAAATGACATTACATATCAAATTATAGAATGACAACAAAAATGCAACCAGAGGCAGATTCATCAGAGAAGAAAACTGATAGATTTTCGTTAATGGATTTTGTTGTTGTTGTTGTATATTCCAATAATTTTCCACTGTTTGAAATTAAGCTCAAGCCACTGTAATATTTCTTAATGTCGCATTCCAGAGTAAGTATTAAAATACCAGAGGGAATAATTTGCTGGGCCTAGCATCTACTCTTACTGTCTTTACTCTCACATATTTTGGCCTGTTTTTCCCTGCTCTCTACTTCCTTGAGCCGCCAACTGCTTGGCACTATATTTGATCTGACACACACCTACGGCCCCTTTAAATGTAACAGTTTTTGTAAACACCATCTCTGACTTCAATCCTCAGTCTCTCACATGCTATTTCATAGTTACCCCTTGGTCCACACAGCTAATATTACTTGTAAAAGGCATCCTCACTTCCTACTCAGGACTCAGGGTCTGTGTAAGTTGTAAGAGCATCCCCTTGCCCCCCAGCGGGAAAAGGGGAATTATGAGAGGAAGATAAATTGTAACTCATTTTAAGGGTCTGTGATTTCTATGGCCCCTTATAAGTTTACCACAAAATTAAATGAATTCGTGTGTCAATTCACATATGCGTGCATACATATACACATAAATAGAGGATACAGAAGCCATCTTTTTTTATTTTTATCTATTGTTTTATTTATTTATTTTAGAGCCAAGGTCTCTCTCTGCTGCCCAGGCTGGAGTACAGTGGCACCATCACGGCTCACTGCAGCCTCAACCCCCCGGGCTCAAATGATTCTCTCACCTCAGCCTCCCTAGTAGCTGAGACTACAAGTGTGGGTCACCACATCCAGCTACTTTTTGTATGTTTTGTAGAGACAGGGTTTTACCATGTTGCCCAGGTTGGTCTTGAACTCCTGAACTCAGGCAATCCACCCACCTCAGCCTCCCAAAGTGCTGGGATTGCAGTCATGAACTACCTCATCTGGCCCCAGAAGCCATTTTTTAGGGATTCACTCAGAAGATATAGATATAGATATAGCTTTTCCTAATTTTTTTTTACTTAATTTTTCACTTAATATTATTAGCCAACCTATGATTTCTGTAATAAGTATATGCATTCATAAATTATAGCATATTTTCTCAATTTAGAGTTCTTTCCAACAACAAAATTGTTATTTTCCTGTGAAGGAACTATGGGTAGTTGCTATGGCCAACCATGATACTAAAAGAGAAAATATAGTTGGTTGTTATTTCTGTAAAAGTTCTCACTGAATTGTGTGCATGTACAGAAAGACAAGTTTTTGCAATCAAAATAAGTATGTGGTGTTTAAACATAACATTCTTCTCCAATGTAGAAGAGGGTCCAACGTATCTCTTACATTGGACATGAGTAGCTTGGGGAACATTGAACCCTTTGTGTCTATACCAACACCACGGGAGAAGGTAGCAATGGAGTATCTGCAGTCAGCCAGCCGAATTCTCACAAGGTCTCAGCTGAGGGACGTCGTGGCAAGTTCACATTTACTCCAAAGTGAATTCATGGTGAGCCTTCTATTTATTGTTCACTCTTCAGTCGGTATTTTGATACATGGGGCACTAGAGACGTATGGAAATGATACTGTCCTATACTTAAGCAGTCTACAGTAAACAAATGGCAAAGTGAAATGGTTTTAGATTCACTCAGTCTCATCCACTATTGATAAGTATTAAAATTGGAATGTAGAGCTAAATTAAGGCAGAATATGCAAGAATTGGTGAGGCAAATAAGTGGTATAGGGAGCTGGGCAGAGAAGGGGCATTCCAGGACAAAGAATAGCCTTGCTGTCACTGTCTGGGGAATTAAACTGTTCAGTTTAACTGGAACATTGAAATCAAGGTGGGAAGTGGCAAAAGTTGAGCCTCAGAAGTATAAAAGAAACCCTAGCCTTAATATATGTTTAGGAGCTTGGACTTTATCTTATGTTTTGGATAGATCATTCTATTTGCAGTGGAGTAGGCACTAAAAGGGAGCAGTTTAGAGGCTCTAGTGTTAATCCTGTGGAACTGCGTTGGTGGCCTAAACTAATATAGTAGAAGGGAAAATGGAAAGAATCTGTAGGAATCTACAAGAAGTGGGATTAATTGAATGAGGCAGCCAAAAGTAATGGAAAAGTCAGGGATTGATATTCGTGTTTTTGGTTTGGCCAACAGGGTGCATATGGTGCCCTTTAACGAAATAAGGAACACAGGAGGAAGACCAAGTGTGGGCTAAAAAGAATGATGAATTCAGTTTTAGACATACCAGTGTTGCTAGTGAAAGCTTAAAGCATGATAACATACATCAACTCAGAGAACATGAAGTAAGATTAAACCTTCTTAGGTCTAATTGTTGCCCAAGGAGAATATTGACTTTGTTGATCACCTCTTGCATCTTAAGCCGTATTGGTTGAGTACAATAAATTGATTATTAGTTCAGGCATTTGCAGCCATCCTAATGGTGACAGATTCAGCAATGGGTTGGATCTACTATTAGCCCCATCAACTATTATTAAGTGTCCAAAGTAAAATACAAACATGAAAATCAGACTCTGTGGTGTATCATATTTTACATGTGAAGAAAATGAGACCTGTAGGAATGAAAGAACAAGTCAGTGGTCACACAGCTAGCCAAAGGCACACCTAGAGCTTTTTTTTTCTAGAACTGCAGACAGCTCTTTGTTTATGAAATAAGACCTTACCATAGCCCACTTTCCTGAAAGGAAATTGAAGGCCAGAAGGAGTACACAGGAGAAAGAGAATGCTGGAAGATGACAGACTGTCAGTGTGTGTCAGAAAACAGAAGGTGAGAAGGAAGAAGGGGAGGAATAAAGATATTACCTTTGTGGCTTTGCCCAAAGACACTGACGTGCTTGAAATTACCAAACATGAACATGTGTTTTCCATTGAATATTCAACAATTTTGCTTATTTTTATAACTTGGAACAAACAGGTTAAAACATTTAGTTGGAGCAGAGAATAGGGATAAATATCATGGATAGCTAGCATAATGCAGGTAAAGGAAAAATTATTTTAAAAATAAGTAACTTGGGGCCAGGTGTTGTGGCTCATGCTTGTAATCCCAGCTACTCAGGAAGCTGAGATGGGAGGATGCCTTGAGCCCAGGAGTTTGAGGTTACAGTGAGCTATGATTGTGCCACTGCACACTGACCTAGGTGACAGAGTGAGATCCCATCTCTAAAAATAAATTAATTAATAAACGAATAGCTGTTTCTCTCTGTAGAACAAGCCTCAAATTCATAGTATAGTCCAGCTTTTCTCAAATTTTCAGAATGACTGAAAACTAGGATAATTTGAATGAATTTAAAGATGATTTCTTCTATTTCAATCAATATTAGACTGTTAAGTTAAATTTTCTACTGGAGAAAGTTTAAGTAGTAAAAATATCTTATTTGATCAAATATTTAATGTTTATCAGTCATTAAATAACATAAAAGTTATTTTGTTCATGTTAATCTTATCAAAGTTAGAGAACATACTATTTTGTATAATCAAATCTTTAAACAAATGTTTGTTTGGACCCTTTTGAAAACTTTGGCTTGTTGCTTTATTTGTCCTGGTTAGCTACAGATACACACCTTTTTAGATCTAATGCACTTACATACAGCCACTCTTTTCCTATTGTTCCCTGTCCAATCACTTGAGGCATATAATGTATACTCTGATAAAATAAGAATAGTAATGTTCTTAAGTGGGAGAAACAGTGTTTGAATGCCCTTCACTAAAAACAGTGCATTTATAACTTAAAATGGAACAGTCCAGTTATAAACCATTTCTTAATTCAAAAAAAAGTCATGTCATCACTTGAATTAACAAAAAAGCCCTTTATATTTACCATTTTGGGAAAGAGGTTTTAATAATCCTAAAAGAGTCACTATTAGTGTGAAAAGATAATCTATTATAGTAAAATTTTTGGTACTAAAGTTATGTAAAAACTGGAATATATTTGAATACATTGTTTTTTAAAAAAATTCACTTTTTAGCATCTGTCTAATCTTTCTAGCAATTATGTCACAGCAGGATTCTTAAAATCTAACCAGTGTTATATGTCTCCTTACTGACTACATATTAAGCAATATTTTCTAACACACAGAGCTGTTTCTTAGAAGTCAGCTTGTCCGGATGCAGCTGATATGTTTAGGAAAGGAAGGGTGTTGGTCCACCAGAGGTGCTAGATCTGTTGTTTTTAAGTGGCTTTGAAGTCCAATAGAACTCTGGATCAGATGCCCCCCTGTGAAGATTTTCTTTGTGGCAGTATTAGATACACTAATTTGATATTATTTATTTTTGCAGGAAATACCAATGAACTTTGTGGATCCCAAAGAAATTGATATTCCGCGTCATGGAACTAAAAATCGCTATAAGACCATTTTACCAAGTAAGCTTCTTGATTTTATAATTTGCATTGTATGGGGGGCAAGGGGAGGGATAGCCATTAGGAGAAATACCTAATGTAGATGATGGGTTGATGGATGCAGCAAAAGCAAACCACAATGGCACATGTATACCTATGTAACAAACCTGCACATTCTGCACATGTATCCCAGAACTTAAAGTATAAATAATAATAATAATTTACATTGTAAAGCACAAGACAAGTCTTCCCATTAACCCTTACCTCAGCATTTCCAATTCTTACAACACCCACTTCATATCAAATTTGGAATTACAAACACATGTCAAGACTAATAATCATTAAAACTATCTGAAGTTAATGATTTTACCTTTTTACTCTTATTATAATGTCCAGGTCACAATTCCAATAGACACATATTCTAAAATTTTGTTGTGCCACACATTATGGCTACCTGATTTTTGTCAAGGGTCAAACAATTCAATGGGAAAAAGAGAGTCTTTTCAACAAATGGAGCAGAAACAACCAGATATCCACATGCAAAAAAATGAAGTTGAAGACAAAAATTGACTCAAAATGGACCAGAGACCTACACATAAGAGCTAGAACTACAAAACTCATAAACGAAAACAGCTGTAAATCTTTATGACCTTGAATTAGTCAGTGGTTTCTTAGATAAGCCAACAAAAGCACAAACAGCAGCAAAAAAAAATTGAACTTCATTAATACTAAAAATTTTGTGCTTCAAAGGATACCTTCAAGGAAGTGAAAAGACAACTCATAGAATGGAAGAAAATAAATATTTGCAAATCATGTATCTAATAAGGGACATGTAGCTACAATACGCAAATCTTACAACTCAATAATAGAAACACAAACAACCCAAAAAATGGACAAAAGATTTCAATGGATATTTCTCCCTAGAAGATGTACAAATGACCAACAAGCATATTAAAAGATGTTTAACATCACTAGCCATCAGTGAAATCAAAACTACAGCAAGATAGTACTTTATATCCATGAGGATAACTATAATTTTAAAAATAGACAATAAAAAATGCTGGCAAGGATGTAGAGAATTGGAAACTTAACACTACAGTTTTAAGTACAGCTACAGCTACTTAGGAAAACAGTTTGGCAGTTCCTTAAAAGATAAAACTGAGTTGCTATATGACCTGGACACTCTACTTCTAGGTAAATATTACCTAAAAGAAATGAAATGTGTTCACACAAAAATGATACAAAAATATTTATAACAGCATTATTCATAATAGCCAAAGAGTGGCAACCATCAGCTGAGAAATGGATAGATAAAATGTAGTATAGTCACACAATAGAATCAATAAAAAGGAACAAGGCACTGATGAACCTTGAATGAACCTTGAAAACATCATGCTAAGTGAAAGAAGCCAGGCACAAAAGACCTCATATTTTGTAGTCCATTTATATGAAATGTCCAGATAGCTAAATCTATACAGACAGAAAATATCTTAGTGGTTGCTTAGCATTAGGGGATATGGAGAATGACTGCTAAAGGACCTGTATTTATTTTGGGGCTAATTGAATGTTATAAAATTGATTTACAGTGATTGTTGCACAGCTCTGTGAAAATTTAAAAAAAAATGCTGTGATGGCACATGAAATGGGGGGATTGTATGGAATGTGAATTATTTCTCAATAAAACTATTACCAAAAAAATGTTGCTGTGCATGACAATGACCTGGAGTCCTTGTTAGTCCTGTGCCCAACCCCAGGGATTTTGTTTAAGTAGATCTGCTGTTGAGCACAGAAAACTACTTTTAGCAAACACCTAGGTGATTCCAATCCAGATGAAACCAGGATCCACTTTGAGAACCACTACTATATGTGAAACTAGATTGAGCTTCATGGAATTTATTAACGTCAAGCAATGACCTGAATGCCAGGGACCAGTAAGAAATAAGAAACAGTCTATAAAATCAAGGAGGTCACAGACTAGAAACGAGAGTCATATAAATGGTAATTATGCTCAGTGCATAGGCCAGAATAAAGATACTGCCCAAGCAGTGTAGGAGTTCAGAGAGGACTGAGTAATTAATTCTGTCCAGAGAAATTAGGCAAAAAAAAAAAAATGGAGAGGAAGTAATATTTTCTATGACTAAACAAACAGATATAGTTGGAGTTTTGGCAAAATCAGTAAACATCTCACGACAAAGCTCAGGAAAGATGGAGCCACAAAGTCTTTTTAACTTTTGACATTGAAATAGCAATCTTCATAATTTAGTTCATTAATTCATTCATAAGACACCAAATTCTTTATATTCATAGTAATGGTGATGTAATAAAGTAATTAAACAATTACTGTTAATACTATCTTTGGCCTTCCCCTTCTGGTGGAATTGGAAATACATTGTTAAACTATAACATATTTTTAACTGCTCTATATAGTTAAATTTATTTACCTAAGGTAGAGTCACCATTGAAGGTTATTTTATGACTATACTTGGCCAAAGGGGATGAAAGTGCTGCGTGTTAGAATTTGTGTTTTCTCTCTCCCTCTCTCTCTCTCTGTTAAATTTTTATCTAAAATATACCAAACATAAGTAATAAGGGAATATACCTCCATCACAATTATATATACCCAAACCATCATCTAATTTTAGAAGGATTTGGAAATTATTAGCATTAGTTCAAAGTTCAGCCTTCTCCATTTCCTGCCCAGATGATATCAGACAACTGCTTCATAGTCCTGTGTCAGTTTTTCCGTTCACAGAACTGGGTGGACCGCTGGATTCAGGGCACCTGTGCTGACAGCTGATGTTGCAAATGATGGATTTTCTGTTGAAAATGTCTGCAGGCTGAATGCCCCACCCACCACCCTCTGTTGCACAAAATATAATTTAGGAAATATAGCTTAGAAAAGCCACACTATTGGGTGAAAGCATCCAAAAAGCCTGGAATGAATACACAAAGATGTTCTTTATGGTTTTAGACTGTAATATGAGATAAACTTGAAATATTACATAAAATGATGATTATTAAATGATCAAGAATTTAAACATTATGATTGTTTTTAGTTTTAACCTACACTAAACTCTTCTTAGTTCTAAAAGCTTGACAGCTTGTACATAATAGCAACATTATACAATTCTGAGAATGCCTTGCAACAGATATATGGATAGGCAAGAATCAATTATGAATAAATCAATTTATAATTATAAATTAAATTATAGTCATTTCTCTAATGACAGTGTTATCTTGGCTGAGATTAAAATGCTAAAGTCAAGTTTATATCAAATTATTTTGCAGTGTAAACAAATATTAGTGATAAAAATATGTCTACATCCTAAATCACAAAAGTAGTAGGAAAAAACAATCATACATCAATAGAAAATTATTAGCAGACAATAAAATATAATACTGTAATAATAATCATACATCAATAGAAAATTATTAGCACACAATAAAATACTGTAATAATAAGTTTAAATTTTTTATTTTTACTTTAGATTCAGGGGGTACCTGTGCAGGTTTGTTACAAGGGTATATTGTGTGATGCTGCCGTTTGGGCTTCTTCTGACGGCATGACACCCAGAGAGTGAACATAGTACCCAATAGGAAGATTTTCAGCCCTTCTCCCTTTCCCTCCCTCCCTTTTTTTGGAGTCCCAGTTACTATTGTTTTCATCTTTATGTCTATGTGTATCCAGAATTTAGCTCTCACTTATAAGTGAGAACATGCAATATTTGGTTTTCTGTTCCTGTGTTAATTTGCTTAGAATAATGGCCTCCAGCTGCATCCATGTTGCTGCAAAGGACATGATTTTGTTCTTTTTTATGACTTCATGGTGTTCCATGGTGTATGTGTACCACATTTTCTTTATCCAATCCACTGTTGATGGGCATCTAGGTTGTTTCCATGTCTTTGTTATTGTGAATAGTGCTGCACTATAATAATAAATTGTATGCATATTTCTTTTATGCAGTGTGTTGATACAAATATAAGATAATATAGATACACTTAAAGAATGCCATTTACTCAGGTCATCATTTTATATTTAAAATTTTAACATCTAATAATGTTTCCTACTTAAATTATGTTTCCTTTTTTATTATATAAAGTACCTAGCACAGAGTAGATATGCAAATAAGTGAACCACTCATTAAAGCAACAAGTTATGTAGCTAAAGCAAGATACTGGAATTAGATTTGATTTCCTACCCCAACAAAAACATTTATAATTTTTGGCAGGATATTTAATCTCCCTATGCCATCCTTTATTCCCAAAAGTAGTGATAACAATACTCTCCTACAAGGCTACCGAGAAAATTAAATGATAGTATGTGTAAAATGTCTGTCAAAGTTCCAACTAATAGTAAGCCCTCAGCTAATGTTAGTTTCTCTTTCCCTCCCTATCTAACTGAAGATGAATCCATTTCTAACCTCAGAACCAATTCCAGGAAATAGGGGTACCATCTATGTATAGAGAAGTTTACAGTTTTAAAAGCAAAGTACTCAAGAGCCCCATTTTCATTCATTTATAACAGTAGTGATGAAAACGATGATGATTATACATTTTTTGTTTAATTCTTGGCTTTTTTTTTTAGTACAAGCTATATATTACAAGAGTTTTTCTTGGAAACCTACATTTCCCCATACTCAGTTATATGTTGTATTCTTGCATTTGTAAAAGGAAGTAGTTGGAGCCACACACAGTGGCTCATGTCCTGGAGTTTGAGACCAGCCTGGGCAATATAATAAGACCCCATTTCCACACACACAAAAAAAGTTTAATTACTAGCCTGGGCAACATGGCAAAACCTCATCTCTACCAAAAAATACAAAATGTAGCCAGGCATGGTGGTGCACATGTGTGGTCCCAGCTACTTGGGAGGCTGAGGCAGGAGGATCACTTGAGCCCGGGAGGTTGAGGTCGCAGTGAGCTGTGATCACATCTGGGAGTAGCCACTGCAATTCAGCCTGGGCAACAAAGTGAGACTCCCCTCTCTGAATTTTTAATAAAAAGGATTTGGAAACTTCTAAATACTTGGAAAATACTGTAAGTTACTAATTACCAACATAATTTAGCTTTACAGGGAAACTGTTTCTAAGCAGTTTTTAGCTTTACCAGTAAATCATATACATCATAGGCATTATAAAAACTGAAGGAAGCAGGCCTCTTTTCAAGCCTGAATGGTGTAGGATGTTTATGGAAACTTCTAACAATCAGTGGATACTGAAAGGCATGAAAGATTTCTTGTCCTCTTTGCTAAGAAAAGAAAAAAATATCTAGAAAGTCAAAAACAGGGCTTTAACTCTTTCTCATAGAAATTAATTCTGACATTAAACCCTCTGTGAGCCACATCCCAAATAGAAATCACAAAGGATACAAAAGTGAATTAAATACAGCCTTTGCCCTCTAGGGGCTCACCACACTCCATTGAGGGCAGGCAGAAATTTAAGCACTTAAAATACAAGATGATAAATACTAAAATAAAACTCAGGGGACCCAAGCAAAGAAGAGAATGCCTAATTCTGCCTGGGAAGGTCAGGGAGAACTTCAGAAAGACAGTATTTTCTGAATTGAGCCCTGAGTAATGAGGAAGACTTTACCATGCAGAGAAGGCAAAGGAAACAATATGTGCAAAAGCATAAAATCTGCAAAAACATAGAACATTTGGGAGATTGCCCTAGGTCCATGGGGCTAGATTATATGATACACGTGGGAAAGCAGCTGTTGGTGAGGCCTTGGGATGATCATTAAGGATCTGCTCTATCTTGCTAAGTACCCCTCTTGGCATTCATCTTCTAGGCCTGCACTGTCAAGTAGAGCAACCAGAACCCACTTATGGCTAGGTCAGTTTACACTTAAATGAATTAAAATTAAATAAAATTAAAACTTTAGTTTCTCAGTTTTTACTAGCCACATTTCAAGTGCTTGAAAGCTAGAGGCTACATTTTTTGGACAGCACAGATAGATAATATTTTCATCACCTCAGAAAATTCTATTGATCAGGGCTGCTCTAAACTGAATTATCAATAAGTATATAAATATAATAGTTAAGTATGTAAATACAGTAGGTATAATAAAATTGAGTCCAACGGACAAATAGGATTATATACAATACCTTCTTGGAAATTCACAGGGTCCATTAACATACTGAAGACCCTGAGAAGTCCTGCAGTAAAAAGAATATGGTTCAGATTTGTTTAACCCAATGTTTCCCATATTTATTTGGGTACTAACCTCTTTTTGTAAAAGATGACTTAATTTATAAGTCATATAGTATAATTCTATATGTTATAGAGGTAATGATTTACAGGTAATAAATATTTTGGGAAATACTGCTATGGGCAATTGGGAAGTATGGATGACATTTAGACAATGGAATCATGTGATCAGATTTTGTTTTACAGAGCACCTTGACAGCTATGAGGAGGATGGATTGGAAAAAAGCAAGATTGAAGGCAGGGAGACCAGGAGATACTTGAGTCCTAGTCCAAGAAGACAGCCATGCAAACAGAGAGGCAAGACAGACCCCAGCGTATTTTAGGAGACAGAACAGGCAGAATATGCTAACATTCAAATGCACAGAAACTCTACACGGACTGTAGAGCTGTGGCAGCACACCTAACCTAAACAATAGCAGAAAGCTGTCAGGAACACATGAAGGGCATGAGGAGTTTCACAAACCTGTGGTCCATTCAGAAGGAAATAATAAATAGAAAAAGCTGGACTATAAATGAGGAGACCGGGCTGGTCTGAAGTATGTATTTGAGAGCCCTCAGGATGTGCGTAATAAAGTCACAGGAATGAATGAGTCACTCAACAAGGCAGTATCAAGTGAGGATAAAAGAGGGTCAAGTTGAATCCTAGAATTAGCAACATGAAAAGGGGCAGATTAAATGAGCAGGAGATTGGAAAGAGGCCACCGAAAAGGGAGCAGGAAAACCAGAACGTTGTGTCCCAGAATCTAAGGGAAGAGAAAACTCGAAAAAAGGATATACAGTCAACAGTTTTTGAATGCTTCAGAGAGGACATGAACAAAAATACCACAATGGGATCACTGGGCTTAACAACAAGAGGGTCAGTGGTGACCTTAGCAAGGGCAGTCTCTGCACAGTGCTAGGGTTAGGATAGATCACAGTGTACATGAGGAGGATTGAGTTGCAGATGAGCATGGAGGAAGTGTGTGTATAATAAACTCTTTCAGAAGTTTGCCTGTCTAAAAAAGAAAAGCAATAGAATAATTGCTAGAGAAGGATATATAGAACTGACCTTTTTTTAAAAAATAGAAGAGATCTTTAAATCAGTGCAGTAGACATTCACTGAAGGTCTGCTATGCAAGACATTAGATCTTATAAAGATGGTGAAAAATCCCCATCCCTGCCTTCAAAAAGCTCAGAGTGTACCAGGTCAAAGAAATCATAAAGAGACGAATTAGTAATATTAATGTATGCAAATGATGGTAAAAATAATTTCCACATTTTCCGTAACACTTTAGTCCACAAAGAGTCTTTCAACTCTTGATGGAAAGTGATTTTAGAATTTAAGACAATGTTGCTAGCACTAAACGAATCTAACCAATATCAGATACTTGTGCTGTCAGTGAACAAACCGCTACATATGCTAACTAAAGACAGCTTCTTCCAAATAGTGAAAAAGACTTCTGTCCAGGCCATGTGTTTGTTGTAGGTCAGAAGAAAGGAAATCAGTGCAATAAGCAATTTAGGGCTATCCAGACTGAACTAATCACTGCGTGCATTCTAATGGCAATGTTATGGGGCCTGAGGGCTTAGTTTTAGACTAAAATGATGATTACCTTTTGTTATGTTGCTAAAACGTTATTTTTTATAGATCGTGATAATTATTGGACATGCGAACTCCAACTCTAAGAAACCCTGAATTTGACTTCTGAATATATACAAACCCCAGATGTTTGGGATGTACCTATTCTATTAATGCCTCCCTAGGCAGAACTGATTTTGTGATAATACTATTCTTTTCTGAAATATTTTTGCCAGAAAACTTATATATACTATTAACCACAACCCAAATAACAGTGGTTTAAATAATTTAAAAGTGTTTTTCCCTCTCAAGTATACCTGCCAGGGTTGATATGGCAGCTTTGCCATGTTATACCTCCAGACTAATCTCTCTGGTTACCTCGCCATCCCTAGGGTATTACCTTTGCATGGTCTAAGATCCTGATCACCATGACCACATCCCAGGCAGCAAGATGGAATCAGAAGTGGTAGAAGAAGAACATCACTCCTCACTTTAATTTCATGATCTAAAAGTCACGCGCATCACTTCCTCTCACCTGCTATAAGTGAAAACTTAGTCACATGGCCGCAACTAATGCAAGGGGTGGTAAGAAGGGAAGTCTTAAGCTGTGCATCCTACCAAGTTCTCAGCCAGAATTGGGATCTTATTGCTAAAGAAAGACAGGGATGGTGACTACTAGGAGACGACTAGCTCTTAAAGTACATATTTGGATATGCGTACTATTGTGTGCTCCAGCTATTGACAGCAAAAATGCCAGACAGCACGGAGCATGCTTGGCAAGAAGCTTTTAGGGCGCTGTATAGCCAAAGGCTCCCAGCAGGGAACCTCCTCCATGAGATTCTTGGTGGAGAGTGTGCAATAAATGTTGTTTGCTCCACTGTGGCTTCTCCTCCTTGTTTGTTATTTTGTGATCTGCCAAGAGTTTTGATCAATAGGATTGACGGAAGATACGTATAAACAATGGAATAATTTCACTCTCAATGTTAAAATTCAGCTCCACAGGTGTTCAAGACCCCTTGGAGGAAAAAGATAAGGTAACAAAAAGCAGTCTAGCAGAAGTCTTTCTACATTACAAAGGGTGTAATAGATTTTATGCAGACTGAGAGGTTTTACCAACAAGGGTAGATTTAGTTTTTTGGAAGGGAGGGGAGCTAAAGCTTATATTATTTGGAGATTACTCTTTAGGTTTTATTTTATTTTTAATTGAAAATAACAGTTGTATATATTTATGGGGTAAAATGTGATGTTTTGATACATGTATACATTGTGGAATGATCATATCATGCTAATATTAATGTATCCATTACCTCAAATATTTATTTATTTTTTGTGGTGAGAACATTTAAAATCCCATTATTTCAGCTATTTTGAAATATATAATATTATTATTAAACAATAGTCACCATGGTCTATAATAGATCGCCAGAACCTATTTCTCCTAACTGAAATTTTGTATCCTTTGACCACCATCTCCCCTTTCCCCATTCACCCACCCACCTAGCCTTTGGTAACCACCATTCTACTCTCTATTTCTATGAGTTCAACTTTTTTAGATTCCACACATAAAGAAGATCATGTCTCTCTGTGCCTGGCTTATTTCATTTAGCATAATATCTGTGAAGTCTATCTATGTTGTCACAAATGACAGAATTTCCTGCTTTTTAAAGGCCAGATAGAACTCCATTATGTATATAGACCATACTTTTAAAATCCATTCATCTGTTGATGGACACTCCAGTTGTTTTCAAACCTTGGCTATTGTAAATAGTGCTGCAAGAACATAGGAGTGCAGAAATGCCTTCAACATACTGACTTCAGTTCCTTTGGATATATACTCAGAAGTGGAATTGCTGGATCATATGGTAGTTCATTCATAGTTTTTGAGGAATCTCCATACTGTTTTCCAAAATGGCTATGCTAATTTACATTCTCACCAACAGCCTACCAGAGCTCCCTTTTCTTCACAACCTTGCCAACATTTATCTTTTATCTTTTTGATAATAGCCCTTCTAACAGGTATGAAGTGATACTGTGGTTTTAATTTGCATTTCTCTGATGATTTGAGATGTGGAACATTTTTTCGTAGATCTGTTGGACATTTGCATGTCTTGTTTTTAGAAATGTCTATTCAAATCTTTATCCCTTTTCTAATACGATTATTTTCTTGTTATTGAGTAGTTTGAGTTTCTGATATATTTTGGATATTAGCCCCTTCTTAAGGTATGATTTATAAATATTTTCTCCCAATCTGTGGATTTGCTGTGCAGAAGCTTTTTAGTTTGATGCAATCCCCTGTGTCTATTTTTGCTTTCATTGTGCTTTCAGGGTCATATCCAAGAAATTTTTGCCCACATCAATGTCATGGAACTTTGCCCTGGAAGACACTCTTAAAAAATGAATACAACATTATGAATACAAAATAAGATACAAGGTTCTTATTGAAAATGGCTCATGCAAGTGAGGGTCAGTCTGCCCCTGACCAACAATTGTAGGAAATGTAGAGATAGATCTGTTAAGACTGTATGAGATTTGGGGGAAAATGAAGTGCTTTTGAAAGTTTGGTGCTAGCTTCCATCTCCATAGGGTCTACATTTTGAAAGCTCTGAAGGACAAGACTGAGATTGGACTTATTTCCAGAATGCTTTAAAGAGGGTAGTTTGCTTCAGTACCAGTAGCCCCAACATATCTCTTGAGGAGGAATTTTGATAAGTTCAAAGCCCATGTCTCAAGAGATTTCCATGCTGATGAGCATAGGACCACAATTCCTTGTTCACAGTTAGGTTATATCCTGATTCGAACAGTCCTTACCTGTTCCACTGTAAGTTTCTCTGTAGTCACCCTACTTCCTTTAGGTCACCCAAAAGGACATGCTAGGATCTTTTGCAAAGTGTTTTGGTTCAAACTGAATGAAAGCCTGCCTCGATCAACA
This sequence comes from Homo sapiens, assembly GCF_000001405.40. Classification (NCBI taxonomy): domain Eukaryota; kingdom Metazoa; phylum Chordata; class Mammalia; order Primates; family Hominidae; genus Homo; species Homo sapiens. Next base: position 70,687,592 of record NC_000012.12, on the reverse strand, counting down.
GGATTCTTGGATGCCACCTAAGGGTCTTCCCACTGATTTCCAGAATTTATTAACATCTTCTAGACATTGCTTCCATATGGCATGATCAGGAGCTATTTTACCTGTGGCCTATAAGATCAGATAAGCATCTTGGTCTTCACAAGTCAATCTAAAGCTTTAAGCAGAATGGGACTTTCTCCTGCCAAAGCCAGATCCCTTATAGCTCAAATCTACTTTATCCATCCTTGGATAGAAGCTCCTATTACTTGTTTTATTTATATATATAACATATATATAAAATATCTTTATTTCAAATATCCTAGTGACAAATTAGCAAAATTTTACTATATATTTTCAACATCATCTTTGATAATGGCCTTGTTAAATTCTAAGTTTGGTAATCTGGTTTCAACTCTCTGCTTCATTTCTTACTGTGTGACCTTGGGTGAGTTACTTAACCTCTCTGTGCTGCAATTTCCTAATCTAAATAAAGAGACTGTTAACAGTATGTACGTTATAGAATTGTAATAATTAAGTGACCTAATGAATAAAATGCTGTTACCTGCTCTACCTGACACATATAGGAGTCAACAATGAGTGCAATGACAATAACAGTGATCATGATATCACTCCAGAGTTTTGTGACTGACTCCTTATTGGTCCCTATATTACCTATTTATTGCTATGGAACAAATTACCCCAAAATTTAGTGGCTTAAAACAATACACATTTATATCTCACAATTTCTGTGTGCCGGGAATTGGGGAGTGGCTTAGTTGAGTGTCTGGCTCAAGGTCTTTCATGAGATTTCAATTGAGTTGTTGGCCAAGCCTTTGGTCAGCTGAACACTTGGCTGGCACTGAGGGATCTGCTTCTAAGAGGGCTCATTCATATGCTATCAGCTGGAGGCCTCAGTTCCCCACTATTTCTCTCTTCATTGGGCTGCTTGAGTGCCCTCAAAATATGGCCATTAGCTTCCTCCAGAGCAAGCAACTCAAGAAAGAGCGCAAGGAGGAAACTGTAATACCTTTTATGACCAAGTCACACACCATCCCTACTGCCATATTCTATTTAATTTCTGCCCACATTCAAGATGAGAGGAATTAGTCTCTACTACATTCTTTTAGAAGGAGTGTCAGATAATTGGATGACTACATTTTTAAACCATCACCGTCCTCATGGGCTGGTTAGCCTTTTTCTGAAACTAATTATGGCCTTTATTATCTTTAACCCCAGTTATATATAAAGTGAAATTTAAAACAAATGTTGGCTTGCCAAGTCCTGTTAAATTTTTAATTATTTTTAGCTCCCATTTAAATATATTCTATGAAACTTTCTTCGTCTAGTACTTCCTACCTCACCTCCTCTTTGTCTCAGTTTTCGTGGGGAACGTAAGAGATTGTGTTTACCCAGAAGATGTTCAATGATAGTGTGTTACTAAAAAAATATGGGAATGGGAGAAGTTTTTCTTTGCTGCACCCCTGTTTTTACACCACACTCCACTGAGAAAGGAAGCTGAAAAGCATTGAATTTGCTGTTTTTTAAGAAAGTAACTAAGCAACCACTAGGATATAACATTTTGTATTTTAATCGTCAGCTTACATAGCTATCTTCGCATGAGAGCTGCAGCACAGCGTAGTGGCTAATGGTACCCTAGTGTTCGTGTGGATTCAAAGCCTGACTCCATTACCTACTTCTTGGCTGTGTACCTTTGGGCAAATTATTTAACCTATCTTAGTTTCCTATCTGAAAAATGGGGAAGGAGTCTTACCCATTATCTTAGGTACTTTTATTAAAGTTACAAGAAAATTAAATGATATAATATCTGTAAAGCAATGAGAACAGACTCTGACATCTAATAAACAATAAATGTATGTTGTTTGTTATTTTATGAGCAGACTGAAAACTCACTGAAATGAATCATAGTTTTTTGTTTTGTTTTGTTTTGTTTCGTTTTTGTTTTTGAGACAGGCTCTCCCTCTGTTGTCCAGGCTGGAGTGCAGTGGCACAATCTCAGCTCACTGCAACCTTGGCCTTTCGGGTTCAAGCAATTCTCATGCCTCAGCCTCCCAAGTAGCTGGAACCACAGACATAAGCCACCATGCCTGGCTAATTTTTTTTTTTTTTTTTTTTTTTTTTTGAGATGAAGTCTCACTATGTTGCCTAGGCTTGAAGCCCCAGGCTCAAGGGATCCTCCTGCCTCAGCCTCCCAAAGTGCTGAGATTACAGTGTAAGCCACTGTGCCCAGCCTCGAAATGAATCATGTTTATCTTTATCTTTGCAACCTCCCTCTTCCCCTGGCTTGCCTATCCTCACACAGATAGCACGTAATAGATTATTAATCTCATCCATCTCGGAAGATCAGGAGATCTGGCCAGGACATAATGGTCAGACAAGGTGAGGTTCAGACCTGAGGGTCTAAATGAGATGAGATAGTAAAATATAAATAATTGGTAGAGTATAGCCTGATTTACCTCCATAGGGAAAGGAGAGAGATGGGAGTGAGGAGACCTGGTACAAATTCCAGATCAAAAGTATAAGAGTGGGCGCAAAAATGAGAAATGAGGTCGAGAACCGGAACAGATGAGAAATGGCCTGAAATATAAACTCATCAGCTTAGGCTTATGGATGAGCTTTATGTCAGGAGTGAAGACAGGCCCAAATGTCCCTCAATAAACATATGGATCAAGCAATGGACACCAAAGACAAACATTGACATGCACCAGATAATCAATACATAACAGGTTTCTACTTACTGGTTATTGGCATTCTAAGGAACTTTAAAAAGGGTAAATCTGTTTAATATATTCTTTTTTGTTTTCTTCATTAGATCCCCTCAGCAGAGTGTGTTTAAGACCAAAAAATGTAACCGATTCATTGAGCACCTACATTAATGCTAATTATATTAGGGTAAGTAAATAAGTACAAATTTCTTTCTGGTGACTTCCTATTTGGAATTGTTGGTTTTATTTTCTTTTTCCTAGAGTAGATTAAGCTTGGTTTAACTTGATTACCAGCAAGATTTCATTTTGTTTGGTTTTTTATCTTAGTCATAATCAACATTGTTAATGGGTCTTTTATGATGACTTTCCTTTCACTGTGAGTCTCTGGCAACAGTGCTCTATATGGGTACTCTGCTGGGGACTGGGCATTACAACCCTCAGTACCATGTGCTATCCTTAACTTGCTGCCAAAATACCCATGGAAATTGTTGTACTAGAGTCAGTGAAGCCGTAACCTGTGTTGCTTTTGTACTAGCCCAGCTATTTCGTTGAAGATCTTTCACCTACACTTTCACTGCAAGGCATGAACTTAAAAACCAATATTTTTGTTTCTTTACTCCATCTAGGGCTACAGTGGCAAGGAGAAAGCCTTCATTGCCACGCAGGGCCCCATGATCAACACCGTGGATGATTTCTGGCAGATGGTTTGGCAGGAAGACAGCCCTGTGATTGTTATGATCACAAAACTCAAAGAAAAAAATGAGGTATGATCTTTAATCAAGTTCTGAATGTTATATGTGTTCTGTTGCTATAGAAGAGATACTGTGTTAGTAAAATTGCCATGGACTTAGATTTAAGATGGAAACTCTGAGACATTTAAAGGCTAAGTCACTTAATACATCCCAAATATAATAAGTGCTATTATCCTATGAATGTCAACTTTCTTTCAGACAAGTCAATATACTTGGCATATACATATCTAATTTGTACCCACAAAAGAAATAAGGGGCCATGAATTATCACCCTAATTTATAAGCAGATAAATAAAACCTTATTCATTCACACCCAAGTCATTTTTGAACACCTACTATGTGACAGGTACTACTGTAGTCATTGGGGATACAATAGTAAACAAAACACACCAAGATCCCTGCCCTTGGTAGATTTTAACTTTCTAGTGGGAGAAGACAGACAAACAACACTACACATAATAAACTTATAAATAGTGTAATATATGAGAAGAGATTAAATGCTATAGGAAAGAAAGTAGAGCAGGCTAAGTGGAATGGGTATACCAGGCAGTAAGGAGGGGGTGATGGGGAATTGCAGATTACATTTAATAATGCAAAGAGGGTGGGCAAGGTGAGCCTCATTAAGAAAACGAGATTTGAGGACAGTTACAGAAACCAATCAACTTTCTCAATATCTTCATAATAAGAAATCCAAGAAAGACAGAATTTGATTTCATTTCCATACTAGTAGTCTTTTCTAAGGATTTAGCTTGCAGAATACTTATTCTGTATTTTGCATTATAAAAATACAATTGTAATATTCCTGAGGGCTGATATCCGAGGTACCGCTTTCATTTTAGGACAACTTACTGGGATTATTTACAGTCTAATTTTAATCAGCATTTCAGTGTTTGTTTTCTTGTCAAAAATATTGTACCAGAGCTTCACCATGACAGTAAGAATTTAAGAAAACTAAGCATTCCTTTATAAGCCTTTGGTGATTATAATCCTTGAGTACAGCATAATCCTGCTGCTAATGGACATCATCTAGGCTCACAAAACAGCAATTTATATGTGTTTTAAAGTTTGTGATTTTCTTATATTTTTGCTACAATAGATAAAACTTTTTTTCCTGAACTATATTCTGGAAAAATAGCATATTTTTGGCCAGTAGATAAGGTTATATACTCAATTCACTACATGGCTTACTAACTAAACACACTATATTCTGGAAAAATAGCATATTTTTGGCCAGTAGATAAGGTTATATACTCAATTCACTACATGGCTTACTAACTAAACACACTTCTATGAATCTGATATTAAAGCCTGAGGTGGCATTATAAAAATAACCCCTAATATTCTCAGCTGTTTCCCACACAGTGTCAATCTATCAACATATTAAGCCACTGACAATTCCTTCACAGTTGTTTAATATGCATGACATTTTTATGATAGAAAAGATTTTTCAAGTTTAAGAGGTGTATTCTCTGTATGTGTACATTTGTGCATTCCTACATAGAACTTATGTAATACAGCAGACTAGATAACCTGAAAAACCTCTCACTACAAAACCAGTTACACTGTGCAGAATATGAAACAGCATGCAAAGAAGAGCTTTGAAAAAAAGTAAAGGAAATCCCAGTGCTTAATAAAAAGAGACTAAAAGGCATAAAACCAGAAAATTAAACATATTGTAATGGTAATACAAGAACTGGAGACAAAGCCTGATCTTGCAGGAGCCAGGTGTTGGAACTGAGACCTTACATAAAGTGAGCACCTTCAAAGGTAACACCTCCAGTAAAAAAGTGAACAACGGCCGGGCGCGGTGGCTCACGCCTGTAATCCCAGCACTTTGGGAGGCCGAGGCGGGCGGATCACGAGGTCAGGAGATCGAGACCATCCTGGCTAACACGGTGAAACCCCGTCTCTACTAAAAATACAAAAAATTAGCCGGGCGTGGTGGCGGGCGCCTGTAGTCCCAGCTACTCGGGAGGCTGAGGCAGGAGAATGGCGTGAACCCGGGAGGCGGAGCTTGCAGTGAGCCGAGATCGCGCCACTGCACTCCAGCCTGGGCGACAGAGCGAGACTCCGTCTCAAAAAAAAAAAAAAAAAAAAAAAAAAAGTGAACAACAAAAATAAATCTGCCTACTAATATAGGATGATGCTAAGAAATTCGCCTAAGTCTGGCCTTCTTATGGTATAAACGAAAAGGCTCTCTTGAGTATTTAAAGCTGAGAAATCACAGAATTCAAAAATCAAGAAACACCAAGTGAAGTCATTAACATAAAAAGTAATACTAGGTTGGTAACGCCCTATGATACTTTACAGAAACGAAGGCAAAAACTTTCTGATGCACATACTCTCAGCATATACCTCACAGATTTCCATAGAAAAGCCCAGCCAGGGCAAAGCAAGAGAGCCGACTAGAGAAGCCGAATGCTCATACTTCCCACCAAAAAAAAGAGCCAAAACAACAAATAAGAAAGTATGTTTGAACTGGAGTGTTTGAGGGAGCACACTGGAATACAGTAGGAGAGAGACAGAAATCCTGTGAGACAAGGAGACCTTTAGTGAGGGTCACATAGAGAAGAGAATGAAGCACTCTGCCTCTGCCACACCGCCATCTCCCCAGCCAGTATTAGCTCAGAACAAGGAGATGCATCCCCAGTGGGGACTAGGCAAGCAAGAGGCCCCAGCAGCCCCCATTAATGTCACAGACATCTGCACTCTTTGTTGCTGAGAATCCTGCAGTTTCTACAGACCCTGAGTCCAGTTTAGGGAGCTGCCTGACAGCCACATGGCTGCAATGCCCCAGAGAAGGAGCCCACATTGTATCCCCTCATCCCTGTGATTCAAGCTGCAGCTATATGATGCCATTTTGAAACCAGAGCCACAACTAGAGTACATCCTGTTCCAGGGGCCAGTAGCCACCATCTCTTTTCATTCCTAAGGCTACACTGCCATTACACTACCTTCACACACAGTAGTACACCATTCCCTTGCTGAGTTGCTACAGCTCCCTACCCCCTGGGAACAAGCTCCTAGGAGGTGTTCCACCTTTCACATCCTAGTGACTGCAGCACCCTGAACCCTGTCTCTCAGAGCCTAGATCCAGTGCCCCATCCATGAAGCCCATATAGCACCTTGCCCTCAAAGGAACAGACAATCTTGATCAGCAGAGAAACCAAGTCCAAACTGGCCTCATGAGCAGTCAGCATGCTCACCAGCGAATGCACCATTCCAAAGCGAGTCCCACCCAAACCAGTGGACCAGCCCCTGCATGTCCCTGGTGCACTCAACAGTTGGGTGCACTACTTCTAAGGATGCCCCAACCTGAGCTGGCAGACCTGTCCGCATATACCACCAGTAAGCTCACCAGCTGGGCATGTCATTTTCAGGGGACTTCTGCTCTGAGTTGGCAAGCCAAGCCCCATGCTTGCCAGCCAAGTACACTGCCCCCAGAGAATCCCTAACCCAAGCTGGCAGACTGGCTGCTGCATGCTCACCAGCCATGTATGCATCTCACAGCGGGTCCCCACCTTAACCAGTGGATTTGTTCTTGTGCTCACCAGCCAAGTGTGCTGTTTCCAGGGGTGACCTGTCCTGAGCCAGCAAACTAGCCACACCAAGGCCTTCAGAGGTTATCAATAAAGTTGACTACAGCTTAAAAACCTGCAGAGACTACACTACTGCACACACATAGAGCAAAAGCCAATGTACCCTACCCAACCAATACCCTCAGACACATCTGCTGGTGAAAGTCATTCCCTTCAAAAGTCACTCCATAAAATTAAAAGAGTTGACCATTCCATCAGATGCACAAATATCAATACAGGGATACAAGATACATGAAAAAGCAAAGAAACATGACACCATCAAAGAAGCAGAAGAATCCTCCAGTAACTGACCCCTAAAGAAATGGAAATTTATAAATTGCCTGAAAAGGAATTTAAAATAATGACCTGAAGGAAATTATGAATTGTGGATGGGGGAAGGGAAAGTCTAGAATATTTGTATGTGACCAAAGTTAAGTTGTTATCAGCTTAAAATATTCTAAGTTCTTTTTACATAAGCCCCAGAATAACCACAAAGAAAAAAATTACAGCAGATACACAAATCAAAAAGAGAAATGAATCAAAGCTTATCACTATGGAAAACCACCAAGTCACAAAGGGAAACAATAAAAGTAGAAGAAAGAAACAAAGTATCTAGAAAACAGTTAACAAAATGGCAGGAGTAAGTTCTTACCTGTCAGTAATAATCTTGAATGGAAATAGATTAAATTTTCCAATTAAAAGATATAGAGTGGCCAAATGGGGGAAAGAAAAAAACGCAAGACTCACCTATATGACGTCTATAAGAAACTCACTTCACATGTAAAGACATATAGACTGAAAGTGAAGGGATGAAAAATTGATATCACTTGCAAATGGAAACTAAAAGAGACCAGGAGTAGCTTCACTTATACCAGATAAAATAGACTTCAAATCAAAAATCACAAAAAAGCACAAAGAAGATCATTATATAATGATACATGGGTTAATTCAACAAAAAAAAATTGTAAATATGTATGCACCTAACACTAGAGTACCCAAATATAAAGAGCAATTATTTATTAGATTAAAGAAAGAAATAGACTGCTATATAGTAATAATCATGAACTTCAACTTCAACACCCCACTCTCAGCAATGGACAGATCATCCAGACAGAAAATAAACAAACATTGGATTTAAACCACACAATAGACCAATTGGACCTAACAGATATTTACAGAATATTTCACCCAACAACTGCAGAATACACGTTTTTCTTAACAGCACAAGACAAGCCTTAACAAATTTTAAAAGATCAAAATCATTTTAAATATGTTTTCTGACCACAATGTTATAAAACTAGAAATCAACAACAGGAAGAAATTCAGAAACTTTACAAATATTGTTTAATGAAAATTAAACAATATGCTCCTAAACAACCAATGGATCAATGAAGACATTAAAAGGGACACTTAAAAATTCCTTGAGACAAATAGAAAGACAGCATATCAAAGTCTTTGGAATACAGAAAAAGCTGTTCTAAAAGAGAAGTTTATATCAATAAATGCTTACATTTGTTGAAATGTAAGTGAAAGATGATAACTTAATGACACACCTCAAGGAACTAGAAAAACAAGAACAGGCTGGGCAGCGTGGCTTACGCTTGTAATCCCAGCACTTTGGGAGGCCGAGGCAGGCAGATCACTTGAGGTCAGGAGTTCGAGACCAGCCTGGCCAACATGGTGAAACCCTGTCTCTACTAAAAATACAAAAATTAACTGGGCCTGGTGGTACACACCTGTAATCTCAGGTACTCGGGAGGCTGAGGCAAAAGAATCAATTGAACTAAGGAGACAGAGGTTGCAGTGAGCTGAGATCATGCCACTGCACTCCATCTTGGGCAGTTGGGAGACAGAGAGAGAGACTCCATCTCAAAAAATAAAAAAGGACAAGAACAAATTAAACCCAAAATTAGTAGAAGGAAGTAAATAAGAAAGATCAAAGCAGAAATAAATGAAATACAGACAGAAAAATACAAAACATCAATAAAAAGAAAAGATCATGTTTGAAAACATAAAACTGACAAAACTTTAGATGCCACAGAAATGCAAAGAATTATAAAAGACTATGGTGAACAATACTACACGAACAAATTGGATAATCTAAAAAAAAATGAATAAATTCCTGGACACATGCAACCTTCCAAGATTGAACAATGAAGAAATAGAAAATCTGAAAACGCTAATGAGTGAGGAAATTAAATCAGTAACAGAACCTATCCTGGCCGGGTGCTGTGGCTCACGCCTGTAACCCCAGCACTTTGGCAGGCCGAGGCAGCCAGATCACCTGAGGTTGGGAGTTCCACACCAGCCCAGCCAACATGGTGAAACCCTGTCTCTACTAAAAATACAAAAATTAGCTGGGCTTGGTGGTGCGTGCCTATAATCCCAGCTACCTGGGAAGCTGAGGCAGGAGAATCACTTGAACCCGGGACTGGGAGGTTGCAGTGAGCCAAGATCATGCCACTGTACTCCAGCCTGGGTGACAGAGTGCAACTCCATCTCAAAAAAAAAAGTATCCCATTGAAGACAAAACCCAGGACCTGATGGCTTCACCAATGAATTCTACCAAACATTTAAAGAATACCAATTCTCCTCAAACTATTCAAGAAAATTAAAGAGGAGAGAACATATCCAAACTCATTCTACAAGGCCAGCATTACCCTAGCACCCAAACCAGACAAGGACTCAACCAAAAAAGAAACTACAGGTCACTCTGATATACATGCAAAAATGCTCATAAAATATTAGTAAACCATTAGTAAAAATCAATAGCACATTAAAAACATCATCCGCTATGATCAAGGGAATTCATCCCAGGGATGCAAGAATGGTTCAGTTTACACAAACTAATAAATATGATACATCACGTTAACAGAATGAAGGATAAAATCCATATCATCATTTCAATAGACGAAGAAAAATAATTTGACAAAATTCATCCCTTCATGATAAGAACTGTCAACAAATTAGATACAGAAAGTATGTACCTCAACACTAAAAAGTCCATATATGACAAGCCCACAACAAACATCATATTGAATGTGGAAAAGTTGAAAGCTTTTCTCCTAAGATCTGGGATAAGGATATCCACTTTCACCACTTCTATTCAACATAGTACTGGGGGTCCTAGCCAGAGTAATCAGGCAAGAGAAAGAAATAAAAGGCAAAATCGGAAAGGAAGGCGTCAAACTATCCCTGCTTGCAGATCATATGATCATATATATGGAAAACCCTAAAGACTGCACCAAAACTTGTTAGAACTAATAGACAAATTTAGTAAAGTTCAAGGATACAGATTTAACATTCAAAAATCAGTAGCATTTGTATATGCTAATGGTGAGCTAGCTAAAAACAAAATCAAGAAAACAATTCCATTTACAATTGCTACCAATAAATAGAGATACCTAAAAATAAATCTAACCAAAGAGGTGAAATATCTTTTATACTGAAAACTATAAATCATTGATGAAGGAAATTGTAGAGAACACAAATAAACAGAAATATATCCTGTGTTCATGGAGTGGAATAATTAATATTGTTAAAATGTCCATACTACGCTAAACAATCAATAGATTCAATGCATTCCCTATCAAAATACCAATAACATTCTTCATGGAAAAAAATTTTTAATCCTAAAATTTGTATGAAGCGACAAAAGATCTTGACTAGCCAAATCATTCTTGAGACAAAAAAAAAAAAAAGCTGGAGGCATCATACTACCTGACTTCAAAATATACCCCAAAGTTACAGTATCGAAAGCAACATGATATTGGCAAAAAAAACAAATACATAGACCAATGGAATGGAATATGGAACATAGAGCCCAGAAATAAGAAAGGATTTTGAATATTCTCACTACAAACAACAAATAATAAATGTTTGCAGTGATGGATATACTGATTGCCTTTATTTGATCATTAACCCATATATACATGCACTGAAGTATCACATTAATATGAATATGTACAATTCTGTGTCAATTAAAATAAAATTAAAAAACTCTCAGCAAACATAAGCCTACAATCAAAATTATGAGGCATACAAGCAACCAATAAAAACCATGAGAAAAAATCAGAAGCAGCAACAATTAAATAGATTCACATAAATTAAAATAACTGAAATAATAAATGTAGGCTACTCTTTTAAATAATTAAGCACAAAAAGCATAAAAAATTTGACACAGGAACAAGTTACTATCCAAAAAGGCTATGAAGATTTAAAACAACAAATACTAGAAATAAACATTATAAAGACATTAAAGTTTAAAAAAATCTTATTAGATAGGTTTAGCATCAAACAAGACACAGCTAAATGAATAACTAATGGATTCAAATATAAAGCTAAGGAAAATACCTAGAAGATCAAAATGACAAAAAAATAAAAAAGAGTGTCTAAGAGACATAGAGGATAGTATTTGATATCCAATATACCATAACAGGTGTTTTAGAAGGAGAAAGAAGAGGATATGAGAAAAGAAGTAATATTTGAAGAAATAATAGATAGGGATTTTCCAAAACTGATGGAAGACTTGAGTTCAAAAATCTAAAAAGCACAATAAATCCTAGGCTGAATAGGTAAATGTAAATCACAGCTAGACACATCTCTGGAACTGAAAAAGCACCAAAGAAAGTAATTACTCCCACCAGAGTAACTAACCAAAAAAAAAAAGGCTTTTCTATAGCAAAACTAGAAGCCAAAAATCAGTAGAATATTACCTACAAAGAACTGAAAGAAAATACTTGACTACCCAGAACTTTATACCCAACAAATCTATCCTACAGGGCCAGGTGTGAAAGACATTTTCAAACTAACAAAAATGGTAAGAATTCACCACCAAAAAAAATCTTACCAAAACAACTACAAGGGAGGATAAAACAGAATGAAGAAGAATTCAATCCAGAAAAAAAGTACTCAAATACAAGAAATAATAGTGAGCAAAGAAAGTAAAATATGAAGGTGAAACTAAAATACTGGATAATGATAGTATTTAAAATTTGAGAAGATGAGGAAAGTTAAAATATTTCTGTGTTATTCACGAAAAGAGAAATATAAGCCAAGGTTAGACTTTTAGGTAAATATGCATGTTCAAATTTTAAGATTAGCCACTAAAAGGATGGAATTAGAATGTATAATTTCCAATCTGGTAGAAGAGAGAAAAGACAGAATTTCGAAAATAAACCAAAATAAAAGGGAAAACAAAAGGTAATATAGAAAAATCAGGATAAACTTTTACCTAATTGGGAGATAGAAAAAAATCCAAATCATACTAAATATAAACAAATAACTTGCAAATTAAATATCAGAGATTACCAAACTGATAAAATAAATAAATTCAGTTAAATGCTGCCTACAAGAGGACACAGAAATGTTAAAATGGAAAGGATGGAAAAAAATACACCAAACTAATACTAATCAAAAGTCAAGTTAGATAAAACTGACTCTCAAAAGAATAATTCTCAAAAGAATATTCTCAAAAGAATAATTACTAGAGAGGTTACCAGAGATAAAGAATGTCAGATGAAAATGAATTTCAAATCAAAACAATCATTATCAGAGAGCTTACTAGAGATAAGGAATGTCAATCTATAACACTAAAATGTGAAATTCACAAGTAAGATTCTAAATATATAAATGCATAATATACATAACCTCCCCCCAAATATCTGAAGCATTAATGGGCAGAATTAAAGAAGGAATTGATAAATCACCATCACACTGGGAGAAAACCCAATAAAAATCAGATATTAGTATTTATTAAGCAGACAAAAAATAAAAATATAGAAAAAGTTTATACATAACCTTTATTCAAATTAGCAAGCTTAGTTTAAGAAAGATATATAGAACCTTCCAATCAATAATCTCATAATATAAATTTTCAAAGCATGAGATTTTGTGAAAAGTGACCAACTACGACTATATAGCAAGTCTTGGCAAATTTCCAGGAATAACTGTACATATATGCTTCGATTACAGTGCATTAAGTTAGAAATAAAAAGCAGAAAGATAAGATTAAAAAATACACTTTGATGCTTAAAAAAAGTTTTAACACACACACAATTCATGGATGAAAATGAATTTATAATATAACTGTAAATTACCTGCAATTCAGGGATGATGCAAATACTACACATCAAATCTTGTGAGATGCTGCTAAAAATGCTCATAGAAGGAAGTTTATAGGCATGAATATGATATTATAAAAGAATTTGTGATCTAAGCAACAGACTTAAGTTAGTAAAAGAACTATAAAATGAACAGGAGAGAAAAAAGGAAGGAATAATGAAGAATAAATGTTAAACATAAAACAAAGATAAAAGGATTGATGAGGCCAGGCATGGTGGCTCATTTCTGTAATCCCAGCACTTTGGGAGGCTGAGTCAGGAAGATTGCTTGAGGCCAGGAGTTTGAGACCAGCCTAGACAATGTAATGAGACTTATATCTCAACAAAAAATTTAAAAATTAGCCAGGGGTGGTGGTGCGCACCTGTTGTCTTAGCTACTCAGAAGGCTGAGGCAAAAGGATCCCTGGAGCCCAGAAGATTGAGGTTGTGGTGAGTTATGATTGGGCTACTCTGCACTTCAGCCTGGCCAACAAAATGAGACCCTGCCTTAAAAAAAATTTTTAAAAAGGATTGATGTAAACAAAAGTCAATTTTTTGAAGTCTAATAAAATAGGCAAAACTAGCAGAATTAAAGGAAATGCAAAAAAAACCATTAAAAATGACTATAATTAAAGCAGAGATTTAAATAAAAGAGGACACTATGAACAACTTCATGCAATATTTAGCACCATTTCGTAGATCTGAGCAAAATGCCTTACCCCTGCCCACTTTGGTTTGAATTTTCTGAGTAAATTGTCATAAAATAAATATTATTTCAAAGTGCATTCATGCCCTTAAATATTTCTTATTATTTCTATTTCTTCTTCTATTACAAATAAAATCTTATAAAATCAACATAGCACCATAATTTATGAAACTATTTGTAAATATAAGTATGTAAATGTTTTAAAACAAATAATATTTTCCCCAGAAAAATTACTTACTTATTACATGCAATTTAGTGTTGCATATGTACTAAGGATTAACACTTGGCAAATGATATGTGAAACAATATCTCACAAGGATTACAGAATACATTGTAATAACTGTGTAAGATACATTACGGTGTTTGTTCTTTTGAGCATTTCAATCTTTGAATCTTGTAATGTATGTTTATCTGTGTTCACTCTTATAGAAAAAGTCAGGAATGTGCCTTTAGTGCTTTACCTCATTCTTGAATCAGGGTTTTAGCAGGACAGAAACTAAGATTGCTGGTTAGGCAGAAGACATTTCCTAGAGGGTGTGTAATATGTGACATATTTTAAAGAAATCCAATAGGGATGATGTGAGCAATTATTAATATGCCAAAGCCCCAGCAGACGGTTGCTCTCATCCTCCTTCTCCAAGACCAAGGATGTCATTGTACCAGAACTGCTGTATAAGTCAAATATATATTTCTTTCTTTCTTTCTTTTTTTTTTTTTTTTTTGCTTTGGCCCGACGTATTTATTGAAGAGAGCTCTATCCTTCTCCCTTCTACCTAGAAGAGGAGGCTTACAGGGCTGGCACCTGCCCACACCTGGCATTCGACATTTCCCTGGGCTAAGCTGAGTGGGAGCAGATGCCCCCATCCTATGACCAGGGCCTGTGCAGGAGCCATCACACCACCTTGCTGATGATGACACCTAGTTCTTCAATTTCACACTGGACTTCATCTCCCTTCTTGAGAAAGACAGAAGGTTTCCTGAATACACCAACACCTGGGGAGGTCCCAGTCAGGATGACATCCCCTGGGTAAAAGGTGACAAACTGGGAGACCCACGCTATCCGCTCCTCTGTCTTGACCACCATCTGGTTGGTGTTGTTGCTCTGGACCACTTCCCCATTCACTTGGCAGCAGGTCTTTAAGATGTGTGCATCTGCTACACTGTCCTTGGTCACCAAGGCAAGGCCCAGAGGGTAGAAGGTGTTGAAGGTTTTTCCCAGCAGCCACTGTTTCCCATCATGTCTCATTTGCCAGTCATGAGCACTCACGTTATGAGCCGCAGTGAAGCCAGCCACATGGGCCATGGCATCTGTGGCCTTGATGTGCTTGCCTTTCTTTCCAATGACCACAGCTGCTCCACTTCCCAGTCTACCTCCTGGCTCTCTGATGGGAGGACCATCTCATCATAGGGCTCCACAATGGAGTTGGCAAACTTGCTGAAGTTGATCGGTTCCGTGGGCACGGGCACATTCTGTTCTTTGCAGTGGTCCACATAATTCATGCCCACACACACCACCTTATCTGGCCATGTGGCTGGAGCCAGGGAGGTCACTTCCAACCATGGTAGGACTGGCAACTGGGCACCCAAGGCTCTTCTTGCCACTGAGAGGATGGCCTCTCCCTGCTCTAGGAACTGTGTCATCATTTTGGGGAGCATAGAGTCAAAGGCATTGAGGTTGATAACCCTTCCACCATTCTCCATCTCTGGGCCCAAGTGAGGCCCCACCAGGTGGGGTGCCTGGAACTGGACTAGTCTCATGTCTCTGGAGGGTTGAAAGGGCCACTTCTGAGCCTGCAGCAGAGCTGTGAGCAACCTTCTTCTACCAGAGACCAGCATCAGAGCCTGGCGGCGGTGGCTGGTCCTCCTGCGCTGGGTTAGTGCTTGTGGGGCCAGAGGTCAAGGACAGCAGGTGCCTGAGCACTGGCACCAATGACTGCAGCTAGCCGGGGAACTGCATGCAGCAGCCTCAAATATGTATTTCAGAGTGACACAGAGTTGGTTTACCTATGATGCTCAGAGCTCTCCATTCAGTATCTGCAAGGGAATAAAGCGTATCTTGTTCTTTCTTTCTCAAGTGCAGTAATTGTCCTCAGAGATAACCTGTTGTTACCATTCTCAGATTTCAGTCTTTACAGGAGAGCCAAATGGATCTGTGGAAAGCTAGAATTTTTTTTAACAATTCCTACACCAATGGGTGGTTGAAGTTTTAATTTTTTTCTTTGACCACATAATTCAGAAATTGGAGAAATGATTTTTGTTTGCGTGTTACAATTTTTAGCCTCCTGTCTTTTTTAATGTCTGAGATATACCTTCTGGGGATATCAAAGTCAAACATTTATGTTATATGTCTTTTATGTGTAATCTGCTTTGTGCTTTTTTTCCCTACAGCCAGTCATAATCCCAAATATTACAATAAAAATTTTGTTATTTTTTATTATTCATTACTCTTTAAAATAAAAATTTCTGTCTAGACTCTCCAAAGACGTAAATATAATACAATACAGGAAACGCTGATGTTTTACAGATCAAAATGATACTGAGAAGTCTGGCACAAAAGAAATACACAGTAGACTTCACACTACCAGGAAAATTCTGTTTACCAAAAATGTGCCAACTTTCAATTGTGTTAAGCGTCATTGTTTGGAAAAGACAAAAATCATTTCCTCCAAAAAACATATGGAGATGGAGTTATCTTTAGAAATTCCCAGGCTTTATAGTTTCATGCAACTTTCTACTTTCTAGCAAATAAATAAATGAATAATTGCCATCTCTTATTTAATAACTCCAATATTCTCATGACCTCAATGTTTATAAAATGAAAATAAATTAAAAATGAAAATATACATAGCTGAAAAAACAGTTAAGTTGCAATTAAAGAGATTTTATTGCTGGTAAGTTTGAGTTCCTTCATTTAGATAAATCTCAAGAGAAAGGGAATTCCTCTTCAGAGAAGGAAACATTGAAATGACAGTGTTCAAATTCCACTGCTAGAGAAGACATAGTGGCTTAAACCTATAAAGCTGGAACTGCAAGAGCAATCCAAAATGGCAAGTAGTTTTTGCACACTTCCAGCGAAACAAAGCCCCCATACTACTTCTGGAAGTTACTTACTGCATTTCTCTCCCCTTTCAGAAAAGAAGGGAAGTAGGTATACATGTTGACCATATTACATACACAGTGGAAGATGTTTTCTAGCCACTACCATTTATTGATCATATGTGCTAAGCACAATTTGAACACACATAAATTCAGTTTATTTTCCTCTAACTCTACAAAGTAGGTTTTACTATTCCTATATTATAAATGAGAAAACCAAAGCTCAGAGAGAATGAGAGCCTCAAAGTTAGTGAGTTGATGGAGTCCAAATTTCAATCCAGGCTTGTTTAATTCCAAAGCCCAGGCACTTAATCATTGCCCCAACATTATAAGGAGCCAAATAAAGAATTAAGACATTAGAAGGCAAGCAACCCACTTTTGGTCCCAAAGAGCAATAAGACCCTGAACCTATCTTTCATGAAGTGAAGGAATTACTGGATAATTTGGCCTAACACACTGCTCTCAGTTTAACACAGCTGTACTCTTTCTCTACATTTACATGCATCTTTCATCTGAGTTAAACTACTTGACTTAAGTACTCTAAGCCCCATTTTGCCCATTGACTTATTCAGTACTTTGCAAACGGTTCAATCTCAAAAAGCCACATAAGGAGCCATATATTAACTTTTTCCTTCTTTCATTCTCTTCCCTTTTCTATCTGCTAAAATTATAGAAAATATTCATTTTAATTACACATGTTTGGCCAGAAAGCTCATATGATACCTATGGGTCTGAAAAGTGAGTAGGTGCCCAAGGGGGAGACATTTAAAAGATGTTCCATTGTAATCCCAGCACTTCAGAAAACCAAGGTGAAAGGATCACTTGTGGCCAGGAATTCGAGACCAGCCTGGGCAACATAAGGATACCTTGTCTCTACAAATGAAATTTTTTTTTAATTAGCCATTGCCATGATAGGAATAAATAAACAAGCCAGGCATGGTGGTGTACAAATGTAGCCCCAGCTACTTGAAAGGCAGAGACCAGAGGATCGCTTGAGCCCAGGAGTTTGAGGATGCGGTAAGCTATGATCGTGCCACTGCACTCCAGCCTGGCTGACAGTGTGCAAGCTTGTGTGTGTGTGTGTGTGTGTGTGTGTGTATAACATATATATATATGGCTTGTGTGTATATATATAGCTTATATATATATATAGCTCGTATATATATACACACACACACATAGCTTGTGTGTATATATATATATATAAATAGCATATATATATAAAATAGCTTTGGAAGATATATTTAAGTGTTCCAGCAGTAGAAACCACAGTGCTTAGTTTCTCATCGAATGGGAGTAAGTGAGAGCTTGACTTCAGGACTTCTGGTTTGGGAGGTTGAGTGGATGTGATATCAGTTTCATCTTTAACCTGTTAAGTTTGATAAATGTTGGAGACTTCTGGCTGGTAAAGTCTTTTAAGTCTATTAAGCAGTTAGAAATAAGGGTACTCTGGAGAAATGCACAGGTGAGAGAGATCAGATGTCATGAGAAGGTACAGCATTGGTGTAAAGACAATAAAAGAGGGTATTGTATTATGATGTATATTCTGCTTTTAACATTATGAGTATTCTCCATGTCATTAATAATTCATCAAAATGTTAAATTACTAGAATTTCATTGTGTGGATGTGCTAAAATGTAATCATTTCCTTATTGATAGGTACTTAAATTGTTTCCAATTTATTGTCCACAAAAACCTTAAGACCTCATTAAGTCAAATTGCAGCTACCATATATGTCTTTGATTAATTAAATACATTCCAAGAAAGTTTTTTTGGAAATATAAATATTGACTAAGCAACTGAGCACAGCCCATGTTTGCCTTTACAAAAGAGTTTCTTTATTTAAATTTTTATTTTTAATTTTGTGGGTATGTAGTAAGTATACATTAATGGAGTACATTGCCTTAAATTTCATTATAAAATCAGATGTGCATTCATTCAGATAGAAAGATTGGCTACTCAATAGATATGTAAATTTTACTTTAAAATAAAGTGGACTTTATTAAACTATATGTTTGAGGAGAAAATAAATTATTCTGGTAAGATACTAATAAGAAAATGTTAAGTGTGCCATGTTAAATTCTAAATGCATAAAATGAAAATATATCTTCTCTATCATTTATAATTAGCTTAAAAAGTAGAGTAAAAGGTAATCTAGAAGGTTCAACAAATATACATGGAAAGCTCAGAAATTGGACTGTTGGATCTTCTGAAGAACAACTGTTTATGGAGCACTAACAGTGTGCTTGAAAATTAATCTTTATAGTAAACATATTTGTAAACCCCATTACAAATGAGAACACTGAGGCACAGGAAGGCAACTTGCCCAAAGCCAAACAGCTGACTCCCAAGCTGCTGCTGCTCCTCCTCCTCCTCCTCTTCCTCCTCTTCTTCATCCTTATCCTCCTCCTCCTCTTCCTTATCCTCCTCTCCTCCTCTTCCTTCTCTTCCTCCTCCTCACCATTACACTATGCTGCTGCCTGGAATCCACTTATGGTGGGAAAGGATAGTCTACAGTGCAAGAAGTGATTGCATCCAGAAAGTGGTATGTATGATTGCTTACATTCAAGGTTAGAAATCTATAACCATTCTCTTTTGGAAGAGGAGATAGACAAGACATTTTGATCAGGTTTTAAAAAAAACGTTGAATCTGTTTATTCAAACTAGTGGACAATTTTGAAAGTGTGGACTAGGATTATGAGGGAGAAGTCGTCCTCAATTTGCAGATCACTGTGGAGTAGACTAAAGGATTCATGCTTTGAAAATGAATGAAAAGAAACGAGCAAACCAAGTCCCACAACCAGAGGGTCTATCCAAACAAGGTCAGAGAAGGTATTATTGTGGGAGTCCAACCTAGCAAGCAAGCAGAAGAGAGTCCCTTTCTGGTATTCAGCTTTCCTTTGGAGGATCAGAATTAGATATTATGAATGCTGTCGCTGGTCAACTGGATTCATGAGCATAAATTGGAGTCACAAGATAAATTAGGATCTCATGCAGGACTTTGCTTATGAAACACGAATCCATTCAAGATAGATTCAACAGGAAGCAAAGAGACCAAAGCCACCACAAGCATGACCAAGGCCACCTAGCCTCTGACTTAGGGCCATCATGTTGGTGGAGAGGCAACCTGGCCACCACTGTCCAGCAGTGACAGGCAGCCTAATTTCATTTCATGGGTAACCAGGGGGTTGATGGGTATGCTGACCAAGCAATTAAGGGTGGCTAGAAATTCAGATGCTGACTGCGCCCAAACAAAATTACTCTCCTGTCCTTCCAGGCATGCATATATTCCAAATCTAACTTTGCACCTTAATGTTTAATCCACAGTGTTATGTTTAAACTGCATTAGCCTGCTTTACTTCCAACTATAGTTAGAAGCCCTCTTGTTTAACACAGTTAATCAGCCAGGCACGGTGGCTCATGCCTGCAATCCTAGCACTTTGGGAGGCCAAGGCAGGAGGATCACGACGTCAGGAGATCGAGACTATCCTGGCTAACACGGTGAAACTCCGTCTCTACTAAAAAATACAAAAAATTAGCCAGGCATGGTGGCGGGCGCCTGTAGTCCCAGCTACTCGGGAGGCTGAGGCAGGAGAATGGGGTGAACCTGGGAGGCGGAGCTTGCAGTGAGCCAAGATCGTGCCACTGCACTCCAGCCTGAGTGACAGAGCGAGACTCCGTCTCAAAAAAAAAAAAAAAAAAAAAAAAAAAAAAAAAAAAAACAGAAAAACACACAGTTAATCAAAAATGGTCAATGTGAGAATCATAAAAAAAGTATTTTATTTTAAAACATGTACATTTGTTCATATTCAAATGTGTTTGTTTATTATGGGGTTCAGTCTTATGAGTGTTGGTCTGAAGATGGAGTTCTAGATCATATAGTTTATGTCAATCACATTGTTTATATATTATCAAAATTTTCCATTTTAGTTTATTTAAAATGAAAGAGAAAATAGAAAAGCCTATGAAACAATATAAATGCAGTTTTCTATTTAGATTTTTTAACTTAGAGACAAATTTCTGTCATTGTCTCACCTGTCCCTGATTTGACTGTAGTTTTCTTTACTGGTTTACTTTTTTCACCAGTGAAAAACTTACGCAACTTATTCAATTATCTCATAAAGCTCTTTTCTCTTTTAAACCTCATATTTTATTGATTTCTGTAATATGTAATTAAATTACTGGACTTCAATAATAAGTACACCTGCCATAAAGGTGTTTTGGTATAAAAACAACTTGAGGAACACAGAGATCAAAAGATGGTAACAGAAGTACTGAGCTCAGTAGGAGAGTGAACCAAGACTATGCAAGGTTGCATGTGCCTCAACATATTTGACAGAGGGAACAGGTCATTGGTCAATGCTGTGGTTAAGTAGCATTGGTTAAGAGTCAGTGTGGAAATCAAAGATGGAAAGTTTCATTCATAAAGTGATATTTTCTTGGAAAATTCTAGCCCCCCAAGGCAATTTTCCCCTACCAAAACACCTGAGCCTTCATGTCCTCATCTGAAAAATAATTTAAATAATAATAATACCTGCTACCCACCCTACCTACTTCAAAGGATTGTGGAAGGGGCTAAATGATATGATGTTGGTGAAGGTACTTAAATCTCTGAGCCTATGTCAGTAATATTCCATCGGAGCACCAGGAATAAAAGTAGCTATAGTAATAATAATTTTAGACAACCTGACCCATTCTATCCCTCTCATGTATTAATATAACCCAAATGAAGCTAAGTATGAAGATTTTATTTACTTAGAGCCACATTCTATGTGATGATACAGATCTTTAGCTTATAGAGCAATATCTCTGATATTTAAATATATAGAAACTAAAAAGAAAATAACTTAAAAATAGGTTTTTTTTTTTCAGGCAACTAAACAACTAGCTAGACCGCCTCCTCACATAGCCCTAACTTGGTGGGGGCCAGAAGGAGAATCAAGGGAAGAAAAAAGATCACAAAAATATGAGCTGGCGGCCGGGCGCAGTGGCTCACGCCTATAATCCCAGGACTTTGGGAGGCCAAGGTGGGCAGATCACCTGAGGTCAGGAGTTCAAGACCAGTCTGGCCAACATGGTGAAACCCCGTCTCTACTAAAAATACAAAAATTAGCTGGGCGTGATGGTGCACACCTGTAATCTCAGCTACTTGGGAGGCTGAGGCGGGAGAATCGCTTGAACCCGGGAGGTGGAGGTTGCAGTAAGCTGACATTGTGCCACTGCACTCCAACCTGAGTGATAGAATGAGACTCCATCACAAAAAAAAAAAAAAAAAAAAAAAAAAAAAAAAAAAGAATTTGCATTGCTTTGTGTTACATCCTACTTTTGCTGTAAACCACCAGTTACAAAGCACTGGTTAATGTCCAGAATCTTTTCAGTCAGAGTTTGATAATAACTTGTTTGCACAAGAGACACTGTCCTCTGGAAACCTATTTTTTTCTTCCAAATTATGGATTCTTAGAATTAATAGATAATTTTACTGAAAGGATAAGCCTAGCTAGCAAAAGAATAGTGATGATTTGGGGTTATATTCTGCTAAATAGCATGCTATTTTGAATCACCTACAATTAGTGTGGTTTCACAGTATTATCTGTAAGGCAGCATTTTTCTTCCCTGCCTTTTCTGCCTCTTTTATCTCATTGTTAGCACCACAATAAAGAAACCCTAAAAAGCTGTACAGGAAAATAATTTGAACATGAACTTGTACTCTTAGAAACAACTGCATTTGCAGCTGTCCCCCACCTCATATTCAAAAGTACCCACACTTATCTGGTCTCTTTTTCTGTCATCTAAATGAGGGAAAAATGTATTCAGTGTGTAAAAATAAGCTATTGTATCTCAGAAAGGAGATGGGATGCTAATTAAGGGTTGTTTGAATGAACAAGTCACATTGCATTGTCTACTGGGAGCTGACTGCCAATTGCTTTTTTGGTAACGAGTCAAAAAAAACATTCAAGAGGGCCCCCGGCAAGCTTGGGAGAGAAGCGAGCAGCATTTCCATTTATCAAGTAGGTGCAGAAGCCTGTGCAAGTATTAAGAGTCAGGGTGCAGGCGGCAAGCTCCTGCTTTGCAGCTTTTCTTACTGGTTTTGAGAGCCACCTTCCTAAAGAGGGCCCTGCTGCTCAGGTCTGATCGTGGACAATGGGGCACGTACGCCAGACTGCTGGACTACTGAATGAATGCCTCTTTCTTTGTTCAATACCTTTTCCAAGATTCTTTGTCATTCTTCTTGGACTCATCGGGAGGCATGGGTTTTAAGATACACAGTAGCTCGGGTCTTACAGCGAAATAATTGATGCTTCATTGAAAGAAACCAGGCAAATTGGTTTGTATGATTACCTTTAACAAAGTGGGAAAATTTTAGACATTTGGCAACTCATAGATTTCGAGAGAAATGAGTTGCTCTACTTTAAAAAGGTTTCTTCTCTTAATGTTAACATTAAGTCAGCCAGAGTAAGTCTTTTGGTCTGATAGCCTGAGAGTCTCAGGTGGCATGTAAATAAAGCTGAAACAATTTACTTCATTTAGAAAAAGGGTCAAAATGTAGAGGATGTAAATGTGTTTTTATTGTAATGGATGAAAGAAACTGATTCTGCTAGGTGAAGTGACTTCCTTCGCTGTGCTAGCTTGTAGAGTAGTGGTACTTAGCATAATAGAGCCCTGGAGGTGTGTTTCTGATACTTTGTGTCACTTTTCCTTCAGTTCTATAATTTTGTGAGTCTTTTGCTGCTCTTTTAAATCTATAAGTATTTAAATTTTTATCAAGTGTATTCATATGCCTTTGACAAAGATGTGAAGAAACAAGTGTCCTGGGTATTAAAAGGTTCTGATTGAAGGCAACAAATGAAAGAATTTCTATGTAAATGTATGTATGGTTGGGAGAAAATAAGTGCTATTTAAACATTTCTAAAATTAACATTGCTTCCAAGAGCACTCAAAATAAAACATAAACATTTGTCATTTTACATTCTTTATCATCAAAATTTGTGGTAAAAAATAGTTATTTTACAGTTGTTTAAAAAGCAAAATGAGATTATATGTATGCTTGAATCTCATTTTGCAATTTTTATTTAATAATGATAACTGACTATAATAATACCAAAATAATATTTAATGCATGAAGATCTAATCACTTTGGGCCAAAAACCTATCACCCAGTAGTTTTAAAATAACAACAGCAATAATAACATGTTGTAAGTGCTTACTCTATGCCTGGCTTTATCCTAAGTACTTTCCAGATAGCCAATAATAAAGAAACTATAACCAAAGGGTTTAAGTATCTTGTTCGTGGATTCACAGGTAATGAATGGTAGAACCAAAATTTGGACTCAGGTTCCGAGTTCAAAGCCTGCGCCTTAACCACCATGCTATGTTGCCTTGCTTGCAGTATAATTATTGTCACTCTTTTAAAGCTCCTCAGGAGGATCCATTATAAAAATATTTTTAACGTAATTTTTGTAAATTAGTTCCATAAGTGAAAAAAACTGTTGGTCCGGGAAAATATAATACCATAGTTGTATTAATGATCATTATATCTGCCTTACATATAAAGGAAACTTGGTTGTATGCCACCTAACATATTAGATATTCTCATTAGACATAAGTTTGTTGAAGCAGGAAAATGTAACTTTCCTCAATTATTGTGGGAAAACATTCTTTTATTTCTAGTCAGCACATGATAAATTCTAATATTTGGATCTCAATTTCTTAACTCTTAAATTTCTTAACTTCTTAATTAGTTCTTAATTTCTCTGAGGAGTTTTGGGTAATTCTGCCTTTTTTTTTTGTATGGAGCCAGCAGTGACAGTGTTTAATAGGCACATATGAAACTGATACTTTAAAAAAAACTGTTGAGATATAATTTATATACCATAAAATCTAGCTGCTTAAGATTTACAATTCAATGGTTTTAGTATATTTACAAAACTATAAAAATTGATATTTGATATTTTAAAACTAATGATATAAAACTCTTGAGATGCTTGAATGAAAAGTACTCCATGGCTAATAAAAGCCATTAATATTTGCTGTATTCTCTTTCCCTTCCTCCAGAAATGTGTGCTATACTGGCCGGAAAAGAGAGGGATATATGGAAAAGTTGAGGTTCTGGTTATCAGTGTAAATGAATGTGATAACTACACCATTCGAAACCTTGTCTTAAAGGTAAGATTATGTAGCTATAGCCATCTACAAAGTAGATGATGTTAGAGGATTACATTTCTACTTTGAAATTATTTAAGTACTACAAATGCAATTTAAGCAAATTAAATAATGTTAAGATCAAAGAGAAACTATAATCATTCCCTCATGTATTTTTTGTTGTCAACTACTATTAATATGCAGTATAATTAAATGAATGTAAGTAGACATTAAGAAAATTCATTATGTAGGATGTTGTGATCCTCTAATTTGCGTTAATAAAATATCTCTGATTTAACCTTTTGAAAGCTTTTAACTAAAGGCTGTGCTGGAGACTTTACCATGATTTTTTTTAATGTCATTTTGATCTAAGCAGCTTTGCGTAAGGCCTGGAAGCTGTGAAAGAGAAAATCTGCATTTGTGGGTGGCAGTGGGAAGCAAGGCAAGCCTGAAGTGTTGATGAGATCTTCAGAAGCGTGGAGTTACAGTAATTTATAGGGACTTTCCCCAGACGAGATTATGTCATAGGAAAACTATCTTATTTAACTCATGGGCAGCAGATGCTGAGAAATGTTACCATGGTATTATTTTTGCTTCTGGAGAATAATCACCCAAAAATTTCGATCTTATCTGCAGCCTCACTGCTGGGATAGAATCATCACAAAGAGGAAGAAAACAGGGGCAGAGCTACAGTGATGGCTTTTGTTGGGAAGTTTGGAATAGGAAGGCGTTTACCAAAACCTGTTTTTCAACACATGTTCTGGAGTGCCGGGGAAGTTTGGAATAGGAAGGCATTTACCAAAACTTATTTTTCAACACATGTTCTGGAGTGCGAGGTTCATGCCACACCCTCACCCGTGCTGGGTTTGGAGATGAGGTGTGTGGGCCCTCACCCAAGTGTTTCCAATAGAGGGATCTCATGTAGCTTCTTTATTGCTGTGATTCCTCACTCCTATTAAATACTGGAGTTTTGGATGAGTGTAGAAGTATTAGCATGACTGATATGAAATTAAGTGTTCTATTGATTAACATGTTTATAATAACTTGTCAGGAATGCTCATAGAGCAGGAAACAAAATATATCTCATTCTTTCTTGGCTACATTTTCACCTACCATCTTGTTTATTATAATAAATTATAAATATATATTTAGCATATGTTACTTATATGATCTATATTATAACTATAGGTAGAGATGTAAATCTCAACAAAGGTATGACTTTCTCACTTTGCAAACAGGTTACTGACAGTAAAGTCTTCTCAAAGTAAAAGGGCACTCTTCAAAAATCTTCTAAATTTTTTTCCCACCTAGAAATAAATTGCCAGCAAGATGGGGGTGATAAAAGGCATTCAGTATTGTGGTTTGGATGACTTTTAGTTCTACAAGTGAATGAGGCATTTGGTGGCTGTTGCTATTTTCAGCAAGGAAGCCACACCCAACATGTGAAGCATTACTGGTACACCTCATGGCCTGATCACAAGACTCCAGACAGTGCCCAGCCCCTCCTACAGCTCATGCTGGATGTAGAAGAAGACAGACTTGCTTCCCAGGGCCGAGGGCCTGTGGTTGTCCACTGCAGGTAAGACGTGTATGGTCCTTTCTGTCTAAGCAATGGCCCATTCTTTGTAAAGTCACAGAGCAGGTGCAAGTGGGTTTTGCTTCCTGGATGTGACTTTGTTGGCAAATTAAATATTTATTGAAATTGGTTAAGTCTGTAATATTTGAGTCTGAATCAAGATTATGCTGACAGAAGTGAAGTCATGCTTTTAGGTCATTTTTCACAAACAACAATTACACAGTCGGCGAAATACAAGTTCGTAATAAATGGCTCAGTGAACAGGAGACCTATTCAGCAGTTATCTGCTTTGAAACTTATATTGATTGATTTAGTCTCATCAGTCTTGTACACACCAGGAATAAAGATGCACTTTTTGAAATTATCAGTGGCTTTTTTGTTGTTTCAACATGACATGTGAACTCTGCTTGGCTTGTATCTTGGTAACATTACTATTTCAAGTTTGGTGAAAACCAGTCAATTATTTTAAGAGTTATCTCCAGAAAAACAGGTTGAAACAAATTTATGAAATGAGAAGTGAGCAAGTCACCAAAGGAAAACAAAGTGCTGTTACCAGAACATGGAGCACTAGAGGCCAAGCCAACAACAGCAGCAGGGTCTGTGCTGGTTCCTGTCCCTAATTTCTAGTTCAAAGCTCTCTTCCTAAAACTGATACCTCCTTCCCCTAATTTTCCTTTTAATGTAACCAAACTGAAGGCAGCATTTTTAAAGTAATTTATATGAACAACTATTTATTTATTTATTTATTTATTTATTTATTTATTATGAGACAGAGTCTCACTCTATCACCCAGGCTGGAGTGCAGTGGCGCTATCTCGGCTCACTGCAACCTCCGCCTCCTTGGCTCAAGTGATTCCCCTGCCTCAGCCTCCAAAGTAGCTGGAATTACAGGCATGCACCACCACGCCTGGCTAATTTTTATATTTTTAGTAGAGGCGGGGGTTTCACCATGTTGGCCAGGCTGGTCTCAAACTCCTGACTTCAAACGTGATCCACCTGTCTTGGCCTCCCAAAGTGCTGGGATTACAAGTGTGAGCTACCATGCCCAGCCAGCCATTTATTCTTCATGCTTTCTCAAAATAATTTGGGTTGCTTTGTTTAACCGCATAGGTCTCTTAAGTCAGCTTTTGATGATATATTTAATAAATATATTATTTTAGAGTATAATTTTAGCCTCCTTTTTTGAGATTGTGTGGTTTAATTAAGAGTAAAGTTTACTATGTGTCTATTTATCCAAAGGTAGATAATACTGGCTTTATCCTAAACTTAACTTGGAGCCAAAAAAACAAAAACAAAAAAACAGCCTAACTGACTATGCGTTAGGGCTGGAACTGTCCCCCACCCAAAGTCATTAAACACTCAGGATATCTAAAATGAACTAGTCACTTCCCCTATAAAACCAGCTCCCCTTCTGATTACTATTTCTGAGAATGAGACTATCTTTTTTCCAGTCACTCAGGATCCCATGTTGACAGTTATCTCTGGTCCTCCTTTTAACTCCAACATCAGTATCTAATCAGTCACTAGATTGGCTTTCCCTTCAAAGCTTCTCCCATAATCACCATTTCCTGTCCAGCCACCATAGTTCAGGCCCTTCTGACCTCATCCATGTATTTTAGAAGTAGCTGGTAAAATGCACACACATACCGCATTCCCCCATGCTCTCACCGCCACCATGGCCTACCTGTGCCCTTTCTCCGTCTCACCTTACATGGAGTCTCTGCTCAAAGCTTGTCAATGGGCCAGGTGCGGTAGCTCACACCTGCAATCCTAGCACTTTGGGAGGCCGAGGCAGGCAGATCACTTGAGGTCAGGAGTTCAAGTCCAGCCTGGCCAATATGATGAAACGCCCTCTCTACTAAAAATACAAAAATTAGCCAGGCGTGGTGGAATGTGCCTGTACTCCTAGCTACTTGGGAGGCGGAGGCAGGAGAATCGCTTGAACCGAGGAGGCAGAGGTTGCAGTGAGTCAAGATCCCGCCACTGTATTTCAGCAGCCTGTGCGACAGAGAAAGACTCTGTCTTATAAAAAAAAAAAAAAAAAAAAAAAAAAAAAAAACTAGAGCAAAAGTCCCTAACGTTGAACCTATCCATAAACCGCAGAGGTCAGTGAACTCCTTGAAATTATTTGGACACATTTGAGTATGTAAACTTATGTGAATTTTTCTGAAGAGTGGAAGCTTATAGTCTTCATCAAATTCTTACTTAAAAAAAAAAAAAAGGATGTATTTCAAACCACTTAGCCTTCCATATAAGATCCCAGGGTACCTCTCTATCTTTATTTCCCATAGTTCCACTAAAATAACTTTCTCTTCAAGACAAGCTGTTCTACTTATTGTTGCAAATCATATTTGCTGTTTCTCATTAATTCTTTTCTTCTTTCATTGTATATCATTGTCGTACCTAGAATATTCTCTCTCAGTTATAACAGCCAAAATACCTGCCATTCATGGGGCACAGTTCCAATCCTATTTCTTCAATGAAATGAACTTTCTGTGGACACTTCAGCTAAAAGAGAGCCACTCCTCTGAATTCCTCTGCACTCACATTCAACAGAAAACAAGTGCCAAATGTGAGAAATAGGTGCTATTTGAGTGCCAAGAGGGGAGCAATTATTTCCAACCATGGGAGCTGAAGAAAACCTCTAAAAATTGGAATAATGCTGAACTGAGCCTTTTGAAATAATCAATGTTGTGGTTTTAAAAGGAGGGAGGGCATTTCTGACCAAGAAAACATTGTTAACACAGAAAAATTGGAAAACCAAAAGCCCAAACAATTGACGTAAGTGAAAATCATGGCACACGGGAGGGAAGACAGCAAAATACATAAGGCTTGAAAGTTAGTCACATTCAGATTTTGCAAGGTCATGAATACCATGGTAGGGAGGTTAGACATTATGCTATAGTTAATGGAGCCATCTATAGGTTTTGAGTAGGGAATGATATAATTAAGTCCCTATTTCAGAAAGATGAACTTAGCAGCTGTGCGAATTTGTCAAGGAAAAGACTTGAGACTTGGAAACTATAATGAGATCACTGCTAATCATGAAAAAAGGAGATGTTGAAAACGTGATTACAGTCTATAGAAAGGAAAGCATGAATCCCACAGGCTCAGCAGAGATGGAAAATAGAAGAAGTGGTAACAGATTGGATGTGGGAGGTGAGAAAGGGAGAGATGTAAAAGATGGTTCCAAGACTTCTAGGCTGGAAAACTTGTGGCAGACTGGTAATGCCATTGAGGGAAAAGATAATTAATTCTGTTTTAGATACATTGAATTTAGATACATTGAACTGAAGCAAGTCCAAAATAGTAAGGAGGAGATGGAATGACAATCTAGAGTTTAGGAAATTTAGGGAGTCTAGATGTAGATTTGAAAGAATCTTTTACATAGAGACTGTTAGTGGTTAAAACTGCAGACAGAGACAGAGAGAGCACGTGTGCTTGTGAGGTTGATTTTATGGACATATCGTCTAAGGCAGTTGAATGTATAAACCCACCAGGACAGACATCATTTCTGTTCAATTATCATGTCTATACAAATCTCTTGGAAATATGTGCCTCTAGCTGCACCCTCTCCTAAAATGAATCCAATCTTCAATTGCTCAATTATTCACTAGACTTCTGAACATCAGTATGTCCAAGGCAAAACTCCCCTTCCCTGCCTCCTTCAAATTCACCCTATTCCAGCATGCACTTGGCCTCAGGGCATCACCATTCTTCTTTCTCTCCAGGCCTAGTCATCTTTGACTTTTTGCTTTTCTCCCTCTTCAGCTCCAGTCCTTCAGATTCACACTGGGAATGTGCCTAAATCTTCCCCCTCCTTTCTACTGCCTGTATCTTGCCTAAGTGCAGACCTTAATTATTTTTTATTTTTTCTAGAACAATTATAATGCCTTTTTACTGTTCCCCCAACTCACCACTTCCCCCCACCCCTCTCATCCTACTACTTATAATTAAATGTAAAAATATATTTTAAGCACTTAGCACAGGGCCAGGTTTATAATACTCAATATGTGAATACTACTTTTAACTGTGGTTTCAGATTTAAAAGTACCCTTGTAAAAGAATGTTTCTTATCTTTGTCATTTTCCCCCACTTTTTAAATTTCTTTTCTTTTCTTTTCAGTGCAGGAATAGGTAGAACAGGGTGTTTTATTGCTACATCCATTGGCTGTCAACAGCTGAAAGAAGAAGGAGTTGTGGATGCACTAAGCATTGTCTGCCAGCTTCGTATGGATAGGTGAGTGTCACAGAGGCTTGCCTTCAGAGCACTGTTTTCATTCACAGCCTGATCTCATCAGCCTGACTTCATGCATAAACATCTCAGGCTCCAAGGTCCTAAATCTCTGTAGAGATGCTTGTAAAATGCTTAAGTATATGCATTATATTAAAAAGCCTTTTTTTCTCTCTTTTTTGAGACAAGGTCTTGCTCTGTCATCCAGGCTGGAGTGCAGTGGTGCAATCTCAGCTCCCAGCAGCCTCAAACTCCTGGGCTCAAGCAATCCTCACACCTCAGCCCCCGCACGTAGCTAGGACTACAGGTGTGCGCCATGCCTGGCTAATTTTTTTAGTTTTTTGTAGAGATGGGGTCTTGTTACATTACTCAGGTTGTTCTTCAACTCCTGACCACAAGTGAATCTCCCACTTGGGCTTCCCAAAGCGCTGAGATTACAGGCATGAGCCACCATGCCTGGCCTGAAGTTATTTATTTATTTATTATTTTTTTGAGACAGGGTCTCACTTTGTCACCCAAGCTGGAGTGCAGTGGTGTGATTATGGCTCACTACAGCCTAGACTTCCTGGGCTCATGTGGTCCTCCTACCTCATCCCCCCAAGTAGCTGGGACTATAGGCGAGCACCACTACACATGGCTAATTTTTGTAATTTTTTTTTTTGTAGAGACAGGGTCTTACTATGTTGCCCAGGTTGGTCTAGAATGCCTGGGCTCGAGGGATCCTCCTTTCTTGGCCTCCCAAAGTGCTGGGATTACAGGTGAAAGGCACTGCATCTGGCTCCCAAAGTTATTTTTTAATCCTTTTATTAAATTGTGACAAAATGCACATGACAAAATTTATCATCCTAACCATTTGTAAGTGGACAATTTATTAGGGTTAAGTACATTCACATTGTTGTACAACCAATCTCTGGAATTCTGTTCATGTTGAAAAACTCAGTATCCATTAAAAAACTCCCCATTCCTCTCTCAGCCCAACTGGTAACTGCCATTCTATTTTCTGTCTCTGTCAGTTTAAATGCTCTAGGCACCTTTTACGTAAGTGGAGTCATACAGTATTTGTCTGTTTGTGGCTGGCTTATTTCACTTAGCATAATATCCTCAAGGTTCATCTATGTTGTAGCATGTGTCAGAATTTCCTTGCTTTTTAAGGCTGAATAATATTCCATTTTAGGACACATATTTTGTTTATCCATTCATCAATTGATGAAGACTTCAGTTGCTTCCATATTTTGACTATTGTGAATACTGCTGCTATGAACATGCGTATGCAAATATCTGTTCAAGACCCTGTTTTCAATTCTTTTGAGTATATACCCAAAAAGTGGGATTGATGGATCATACGGAATTCTATTTTTAATTTTTTGAGAAAACCATCATAGTATTTTCTGCAGTGGCTGCACTGTTTTACATTCCCACCAACAACACAGGAGGGTTCCAGTTTCTCCACAACTTCACTGACATTTTATTTTCTGCTTTGCTTTTTTTGATAGTAGCCATCCTTATGAGGGTGAGATGGAAGAGTCATTTTTATAGAGATATGGTTTGATCACCTTTGTTATAATCTCCATTTGTTTTGAAAACAAGATAAACAAGAAACTTCTCTTCTTCCTTGCTCCACAACTAAGCCTGCCTGGGTAAATGGACGATTGAGTTAGTGATGGAGAAAGTGGACAGATGCTGCTTCAGAGAAGGCACAAAATGATGAGCAGCAGGCGTCTCTGCTCAGTAATTCAGTGTACTACAGTGGAACAAGAGTTTTGTTGGCTAGGTATGGTGGCTCTCGCCTGTAATCTCAGCACTTTGGCAGGCCAAAACAGGAGGATCCCTTGAGTTCAGGAGTTTGTGACCAGCCTGAGCAACAAAGTGAGACCCTGTCTCTAAAAACAAACAGCAAACAACAAATGTTTACTAATCACCTCATATGCCTAGGCATTGGTCTAGATGCTGCAAATACAGCATTAAACAAGAATTTTCTGCTCTCTTAGAATTTATATGCTAGCAGAAAAAGATAATAAACAAGCAAAATAAACCAAGATAATTTCAGACAGAAATAAATGCTGTGAAGTAATAAAACAAAGAGGGACACAGGCATTGATTCCCTTGAGCTTCAGCCCTATGACCTAGAGTTTTCTAAAAAGATAAAATTATACACTAACCTTTCTTTTTTTCCTGGAGACAGAGTCTCGCTCTGTTGCCCAAGCTGGAGTGCAGTGGCGTGATCATGGCCCACTGCAGCCTTGACCTCCTGGGAGTACAAGCGTGTGCCACACTCAGCTGAGTTTTGTATTTTTTGTAGAGCTGGGGCTTTGCCATGTTGCCCAGGCCAGTCTCGAACTCCTGGACTCAAACAATCCTCACATCTTGGCCTCCCAAAGTGCCGGGATTGTAGGTGTGAGCCACCGTGCCAGGCCATATAATTACCTTTCGAGATTTTTTTTTCAACAAATATGCTTTGAGCACTATGTGCTATGTCCTGGCATTTCAATAAAAAAGACAAGAAGATTATTCTGAAAAATGAGATAATATATGTAAAACACTTGGAATAGAGTCTGGCACATAGTAAGCCCTCAATAAATGTTTGTTATGTTATTATCATCTTTATTATTAAAATTATCTGTGAAGTTTCTCTTACCTCTAAAAAAATAAACATTCAAATTTCCCTATCCAGATTAGTTTTTCCCTTCCCATCTGTAACATTCTTGTCTCCTTTTTAGACAGTAGCCTCTAAGTCTTTCTAACCGTATCTTCCCTGTTTGTTTTCTACTATGTTTGTTTCTTTCTTTATTATTTTCTCTTTCTGTTAGCATGTAAACTCTAGAAGCAGTTCATCATGGCGATTAACATTCTGGGCTCTGGAAACAGATTGCCTGCCTGAGTTTACATCCCAGATTCCACCATTTTTTTGGTTGTATGGCCTTGGGCAAGTTACTACCCTTCTCCATGCCTCAGTTTTCTCATTTGGAAAATTGGAGTAATAGTAGTATATATTTCCTATTATTATTGTAAGGATGAAAAGATGATATGACCTATGTGAAATGCCTGGTGTGTAATAAGCATTCAATCAAGTTTCCACAGTTGTTATCACTATACGTAGCAAGGAACCTAACATGTGCCTGTAAACTGGAAATAGTAATGTATAACTCACAGGACTTCAGCCACATTTAAATGACATTAAACCTGAAATGTATTTAGTAGAACACTCAGCCTACATTGCTTATCCTCTCTTTACCCCCCAATCCTGCTTCCCTCTTACCACACCCCACATGTAACTGCTTCCAAAAATGTTTTCTTTTGGTACATAAAAAAGATCAGTTCCAATTATCCCTTCTCCTCTTATAATTGCTGCCTTAATCTCCTGATATTCCTTTGCCTTCCATCCTGTGTAGTCCACCTCAGCTGGAATAGGATCAGTTGCTTCACTTCAAATTTTAGGGCCTGTCTTCACACAGGAAAGGGGCCCTAACTCTGAGGGGGAGAAGCAGCACTCAGTCAGCCAGAGCTGCTCCCACATTGACTTTCATCTGTCCTGATTTGTGCTTCTGTAGACAAGGCTGCCACCTGAGACCCCAAATCACCCGGGGACTCCAGTTCATACCTTGGAGTCCTGTGTTCTTGTTTAGTGCCAGAACTCCATGAATGCCAAACACATGCATGGATCTAAAGTGACTCCAAACCAAGCTGGCCTCCAGCAACACCTGTTCTGATCCTATTTGGAAGAACGTGCTGAAAAACAGGCTTGGTTTGCTCTTTTTCTTGGCTCTTGTTATGTTACCATTAATTCTTGCCTGCTCACCCTCCCATCTCCCACCTCCCCTGCCCACTTTCATAGCCTGACCTCCACCTTGGGTTCCACTTCCCAGTCACATTCCCCTTTCAGGTCTAACAAATTGTCCTCTAGTTTTGAATGGAATTACAAATGCATTTTTTTAAACCACATCACAATGCCTCCTCTATCTGCTCCTTCCTTCCTAAAGCAAATGGTCAGAAACCTTAGCCTTGGCCTTCCGTCACCACCAAGGTCTTCCCAGAGGTCTTGTCTTTTCACTTCTGATAGGATCTTGAAAACACATCCAACTTCTCTGCTGATCTGAAGCCTATAGGCACCCAACCCCCTTGAGTTTGAATGACTGCCAATATATGCATCAAAATCATTCTGATTTCTTCATCAAGACCCTTTCTGCATTCTTTCTGAGCAGCTGTTTCTGTTGTTTATGAAACAGATCCTCTCCTTGAACCTTCCTTTGAAAGGTCTTTCCTCCAGCCTCCTTCCTTCACAGGATCAACATATGTTTTCCTTTTCTTGTCTCTTCCTTCTGTTGTACACTCTTCTAGTTGTTATGAAAAGCAGAACAGAAAACCTATCCCTTTCGTTTCACCTCATCTTACTTCTTTTTCTCCCACATTATTCTTGCCTCTTGTTCCAGTCCTTCAGCTTTTTCCTATCATACCTCATTTTAAAAATTCCAATGTGTGGCTAACTGCTGCCATTAACCATGTTTTTGGCTCATGGCAGTAAAGGGAAAACTGGTCTCAGCCAATCCAAATGTCTACCGTTATGCACTTGCAGCATATCTTTCTTCATCACTTGTTCAAACCTTGTCCCCAAATTCCGATTTTCCTGGCTATCCTTACCTTCAGCTCTGAATCTGTCCAGAGATTCCAGAATGCACTATGTATTTAATACATACAGAATGTATTTAATCATGGACTCTTCACCATGGTCTTCAAAGCACATGACTTATTTAACTCCCAAAATAAACCCAAGTGAAGGAAAAGAAGCATCTTGGCCTAATTTTTTTTTTTTTAATGAGGAACCAAAGAATTCGAGATAGCGAGTAACTTGTCCAAAGTCAAGTAGCTTGGGAAGTAACAAAATGGACCTATTGGAATCTGGGACATTTGCCTGATCTCTAATTATTTCTCTGATCTTTATCAATCTTATAGAAAAGTAAATAGGCTTTTGGAATATGTTTATTGTAAAACTTCTTGACAAAAACATATCTCTTTGATAATACTCTGCCATTTTAAACAAATGAGCCCAGGAGTTCGAGGCCACCCACCCTGGGCAACATAGCAAAACTCCACCTCTTAAAAACAAAATGCAATGACAACGGGACACCATAATTTTTAAAACAGTTTTTAGTATAAATGAGAGCTCCTTTATGAATAGTTGGAGTGACGTTGTCGGCAACTGCCTTAAGAGTACAATTTGAGGGACAAAACATTGCTGCTTCTTAAAATATCTATCTATGGAGGATGCTAAAATGTATAGCGAATGTCTAAAATACTGCTAGTAAAGAGCTAATCTTGGATGGATTCTTTTAAAAGAATTATCTTTTTCTAAAGTTTATTGAATCTGGAGATGGGAGATGGCATAACACTTCATATCTACTATGCTATTAACGCTTCAATCTAAACGAAGTGATCTGTTCTTTTCAGTGTGGTAGCTGGAGAGAGTGTAACTCCTGGCATTAGGAATACATTCAGAACTTGGGTTTTGGTGAAGGGAAATTGAAGAGGGCTTCCGATGCTGGACACGCCATGGCGAGGTCCTTCAATCAAGGAGACTGTTAGATAAGCTCATGGCTTGTCTTGGGAAAGCAAGCGGCACTAAGACAGAGCTGAAGAGCACTCCAAGGGACACTGTGGGCAGGACCAGCTACATAATTTGTGAGGCCCAGTATAAAATGAAAATGTGGCATCTGTTGATTAAAAAGTATCAAATACTTCAAGACAGTGACAGCAAAGCATTAACCCAAGTTCAGGGTCCTTCTCAGCACAAGAAGGTGAGAGGTATATGACTGCACTGGTCACGATCCCTTGAAGCTAACTCTGTCTTAGGATATTTTTAGAATGGAATGAGTGTTTGTATTAGTTTGGTGCCAAAGTAATTGGGGTATTTGCTATTATAATTATTTTTGCACCAACCTAATAGATGGGCCTGCATCCTGTGTTCTGTGGAACAGGCATCTGAGACCTCTGCACAGAGTGGTGCTCCTGAATCCTGCATACATTCATCCATTCAACAGGCATCACTAGACATCTGCTACTGAGCATGAATCAGGCACCTGGGTGTAGAAAAATGGGTGTCTTAACCAGCTTTCCCAGTTTCCCAGATTGTCCTTCTCAGGACATAGTTTAATTAACAATTATTTACTGAGAGCCTCCTAAGCCAAACCCTCTTGGTGGCGTTCAGGCACAAAGTAGGTTCTTGACTAAGTTCGGGGAAAAGCTGTTTATATATATATATATATTTTGTTTTGTTTTGTTTGTTTTTTTGAGATGGAATTTCTTTCTTGTCACCCAGGCTGGAGTGCAGTAGCATTATCTGGGCCCACTGCAACCTCCACCTCCTGGGTTCAAGCGATTATCCTGCCTCAGCCTCCCGAGTTGCTGGGATTACTCCCGGCTAATTTTTGTATTTTTAGTAGAGGCAGGATTTCACCATGTTGGCCAGGCTGGTCTCGAACTCCTGACCTCAGGTGATCCACCTGCCTCGGGCTGCCAAAGTGCTGGGACTGCAGGCATGAGCCATGGCACCCAGCCCTACACTATATTTCTTCGAAGTCTTCCCCACTCGGAGACTCACAATAAGCATTAATGCATTAAAAAATCTAAAATCTTCCAATGTAGAAACTCCTTTAATTTTATTTAAGCACTCTTTCACATTTATTTGACCACAGATGAATTTCCTCAAGAACCATCTAAATGAGAGGGAAAGAAGTTGTAATAATAAAGATAAGCTGTTCTTTCAAGAAGCTTTGTGGTGAAGAGAAGACTAGAGATAGGATAGTAATTTAAGCCTGAACCTGGACCCCTAAAAAGAGGAAAAGGGCCCGGCACGGTGTCTCAGGCCTGTAGTCCCAGACTTTGGGAGGATGAGGCAGGCAGATCACTTGAGGTCAGGAGTTCAAAACCAGCCTGGCCAACATGGTGAAACCCCATCTCTACTAATAACACAAAAATTAGCCAGGCATGGTGGTGCACACCTGTAGTCCCAGCTACTCAGGAGGCTGAGGCAGGAGAATTGCTGGAACCCAGGAGGCAGAGTTGTGGTGAGCCGACTTCACGCCACTGCACTCCAGGCTGGGCGAGAGAGTGAGACTCAAAAAAACAAAGGTGGTGGGAAAGGAATGGTGGAACCAACTAATTAAAAGCAGCTAAGTGTAATAAGAGAGAGAAAAGACAGAACCAGTATATCAGAAGGCTGATATTTTGTATTCGGCAGAATACGAGCTTCACAGGCCTTCCTCTATCCTTTTCTACTCTTTTTTAACAACCTCCAACCACTAGCAATGAAGGCTGCATACTGTGCATCTTATTCTTATAATCTACCCCTCTCCACTTGTAGCTGCCTCCTCTGAGGAGTCCAGGTATGGCTAACAGCAAAGAAAAAGACAAGGCAGTGATTTGGATACTTGAAATGGGGCTCATTTCATGACCGATCAGTCAAGAGCTTGAACACTGGATAGGATTAAAATTTTGATTTCCACCACCACCACCCCAAAAATTACAATGCCTGGTCATTGTAATTTAACATGAAAAGAACAAGCAATTTCTACTCAAGTTAAAAATCTGCATTTTAGTAATAAATTCAAATGGTCTGGTTCAGAGACGAATGTGTTATGCTGAATGGATATTTCCAGTATAACAATGACAAAACCATTTGGTAGATTCCTCATTCTCTGGCAAGACATTATTTTTATTGGCTTTGTGACAACTTCTATTAATAGATGCTCAGTTCTCATTGCAGATTCATGAGTCTGTGATTCTCCTTTTACTAATACTTTTGAGCATATTTTGAACTAAAATAAGATTTCTTTTTTTTTTTCCAAGTAGGAGTTCAAATTCAGTGCAAGGCACCCACGAATGTTTTATTTAGAAGGGCATTAAGGGATCATCCCTTCATTCCCACTGCATTCGCTTTTAATTAAAAGATGAAGTGGGTGGTATGGCAATTGCAACTGAACACTGGTAAGACTAGCAAAAGAATGAGGTGCCGGACATCTCTGGACTAGATGTCAAGGAGCTTGGTGCGTGGCTCTGCCCCCTAATTTTCTGTGTGACCATTTGTCCACTCTAGGCCTCTCTGTCTACATAGTAAAAGGAGATGTGGGGCGTAACAGTGATCTCCAACCTTTTCTGGTATAAAAACCAGAAATATCTTACTATCAAGAGTAAGATATTTCATGGACCTCCACCTGATTGTTGTATTTTAATGCTTGCAAGTTAATATTCATTGTGTGACTCACAACAAAGCTTAAGTGGATGTCAGGACTCCTCTAACAAGATGCTTTTCCATGCTGGAATTCAGTGATTGCAGAGTGACCAACTGGCTTTCTGAGATCCCTCTCAGCTCTTGCTTTCTTTGAGTCTTTGAAGATTTGTTTATGTGGAGAACAATGGGATAGCCGCAATAGTCATAACATTTGCCAAACATCTCCTAGGAAAAGGGTGGGTTTTTTTTTAA
Organism: Homo sapiens; assembly: GCF_000001405.40. NCBI lineage: Eukaryota > Metazoa > Chordata > Mammalia > Primates > Hominidae > Homo > Homo sapiens. Next base: position 70,648,236 of record NC_000012.12, on the reverse strand, counting down.
AATCTAGCCTCAGGAATATATTGCCCAAAGTTTTCATTCTAAAGGAAGAATCCAAAACCAAAAAAGGGGACATCTCCAAGGCCACATGACCAATTTTGAAGTTTTTATAAAACACTCTGAACTGAACTTTCAATTTTGCTCAAATTAGATTGACTAAATTCTGGATTTTGGGGGTTCTGCTGTTGTTTTCTGCAGTGGGAAGCCTAAGTGGGTTACACTCAAGATGAAGAGAGAGGAAGTTCACATTCTAATCCTGCCTTCAGCAATGACCCTGAACTAGTTGCTATATAAACCAGGAAAAATTGTTTATCTCTGATTATTTTAGTTTAGATTACTTATTAATATCTGAATATGATAAGTACAATGAACTTTCTGTTGGCCAGCATTGTTGCAAAAGGGATATTTTGCTCAATCACATTTTCCTATTAACAGGAGATTACCGTAAATGTATAGGTCAATTTTTTAAAATTATAGTTGAAAAAAAGATCCATAACATTAGTACTAAACTGAACACAGTATAATCATTTTTTATTACTTAGAAAGCCCTTCCATATAATACTTAAACCTTCTAATCTCAAATATCACTAAATTGTTCAACTATACCACCTAGTTAAAAATACCAATTGCTATAAAGCTAAGCCAACCAGCTTCGCTGCATGTAGCTCTTGCTAAAAAAGATTCATTTAGGCTTGGGTATGTCAAGGTTCTACAGTTTGAGATAGTGACAGAAGGTCATTTACACATTTAGCATGAGAGATGCAGTGTCTCAGTTTATTACTATAGATGATGTTTATATTTTAACATCAGACAGTGCTTCACATGCATATAGATATTACAGAAGTATGACTACAAATCAATTCGTGACTATCAGAAGACATCTAAGCAGGCAGGAAAGGAACATATTCCATTGCAGATTGACCTCAGATAACTTTTTCCTCATCGTTTTCCTTTTAATCCCATTGGCAACTGGACACTGGAAGAATTTTAAAACAGAACCTGGGAAGTGAAACATATAAAATAATATCTTATTCCAAGGCCTTTTTTTTCCTCTTTTTTTTCTTCCTGAGTAGCAGGAAATTATCTGTCAAATCCTTCTTTTTAAGAGTCAAGGATGGAATTTGTAGTTGCCTGTACATCCTTACCTTAGAGGGCTTAAACTGGAATGACATCCAAAGGCCTCACTTGTGGCTTCCCACACAGGATAAAAAGATGCTTCCAATGTGCATCATATCATTGTTTAAATGTTTTGATTAGTCACTTCAGTTCGATGATTTTCTTTTCTTTTTTTTTTTAACTACAGCCATCTCAGAAGAATATATATGCCATCAATTTCCAAGGCTAATATATGTCCCCAACATATTTTTTGTTTCCAAAACCTGGTTGAAATAATTTCAAAACTAAAGTTTCTGCTTGTTGGTCTAAGGTTTATCAACTGTAACCTTACATTTATCCATATTTCTCTGCATTCCCAAATAATCACAAAGATTCCTCTAATTAATGAACTTCAAAGATCTCATTTGAAGATCAGGAATTCAACATTTTGATTTGCTTATTTTAAGGACACTTGGAGATAAAGCCCTAGAAATTGGTGTGGATTTACTTGACATTATAATTCCTGAGATCACAACAAGAGGTCTACTTTGTAAAACATATTATGCTGACTGAATCTTCCAAGTGGCTGCCAGGACATTTTCCTTCTTCCTAGCTTGGAGTTAATTAGGTGTTAACTTGAGTGTTCAGAGGAAAACGGCTAATTTTCAGAGGAAAAAAAAATGGAACTCAAAATATGTTAGACTCATCAATTGAATTATCATTTGATATATGCTGATTTTTATGACCTACAAATACTTTAGAACACATCTATTTTGGAGAAGGTGTCTATGTTCAAAATACCTGGTCAGAATTGGCCAAATTTACATTTAAGTTCTCCCTCCTTGATATGACATCTGTGTAAAGCCATGGGAAATCCTCTGTCCAAGGGGCCAGACACACCTTACAGCTGACCCCGGCTAAGCACAGCAGACAGTAGCCTCACTTGACTCATGCCCAAGCTCTTGGAACTTTACCCAGGAGGCACATTAACGTCCACACCTTTTGTTCTAAATTTACTGTACCAAACTTTACCAAAAGAATTCCAGATTTGAAAATAATAAAAAGCAAAGGAGCATAAGTTTCATTGTTAGCCCAGAAGTGAGTCATCACTGCAGAATTTCTTCTGTCTACTGATTAGACCGGATACGGGCTGGGCGGTACGACAGGAAAGGCTGTTGCTCTCTGTATGTGTGAGTGAATAGTCACAAAAGGTCAAAATTTTAACATGTTAAAAGCCAAATCTCTCTCCTGGGCATCTGGAGAGGTTTTTTTCAAAACACCCTCCCAGTAGCAAAGGGAAAAAACTACATTTTTTTTTCCCTTTCTAACCTGAGTTTACCCCCAGCTGACACAGCTACGTGCTGTTCTGCACGGAGACTGAGACGACACTGATCTTTGTATTTGGCAGGGCTAATGTGATATGAGATTATCTGACATTTATAGGAGGGTAGTATATCTGAATCCTCTCTGGCCTGGCCAAACACAGCATTTCATAGTCTGTGGGCACAAAGAAATCCAAGCCACGTGGCTAACACCACTTTTGCAATAAAGGGAATGACTTTCTTCCACAGCATGGAATGGGGCATCATTAGGATGAACAAATAATTTATCATCCAAACCAAGGTACTTCTGAGAGTGAAAGGTGACCCAATTGATAATGACACCAGGACAACACCAATGAACCACAACTCTTCCAAACATGGTTACCCTAGGTGTCGTATTAACTAAGAATAAGAAAAATAATACACAGCATTTATTTAGTACTCACTGAAGGGCAGTTACTGTGCCAAGAGTTTTGTGGATTCTCTCATTTAAACCTTGTAAAACTTGAAGCCTTATTAGATAAATACCTAAATACCTTATTAGCCAGGCCAGTGGTTTTCAAACTTCTTTGTGAACAATGGAAAACTTTTTGCAGGCAGAATCTTCCACAGAACACCAACACAGAAAACCAATAAAAAACACAACTTCCCTGGTCAAAGCTGGGATTGGCATCTAGTCCTAATGACCCATCCTCCTCCTCTGCCCTGCCCAGGGTCCTCAGCCACCTTTGTAGAACCCTGGGCTTCTGGGGATTCTGTGAATAGCCTTCAGCCAGACATTGATATGCTCTGATTCATTTAATCCTCACAACCCGATGACGTTTGTCATTTATGCCATTTTACAAGTGAGAAAAGCCAGGTTGGGAAGGACTAAATGACTTGTCTAAAATCATTTAGCTAAGTAAGTTAAAAAAACAAGGATTCAAACCTGAATCTGTCAGACTCCAAGCCTACTATTTTCATCATCTGCCTCCACTGTGCCTGTCTTCTAGGCTGGTCAATATTTAGAAAGATATTTGGAACTTAATGGGCAAACTAATGTCCTCTGCCAGATTTGCTCTTGGTTCTCCAGGGTCTTTGGGGGCCTCACTCCAGAGCCTCCTAACCAGTCCTATTTGACCAGATGGTACCAAAGAGTAACAATAACAATAACAATAATAATAGTTGACATTTATGGTATTGATATGTGCTTGGCTATGTGCTAAACATGTTAAGTGATAGTCCCATTTATTTCTCACAACAATGCTATAAAGTAGGAACTATTGTTTTTATTGTCGCATCATTTGCAGATGAAAAAACTGAGCACTGCAGAGATTGTGTAGTTGGGTAAAATATCTAGTAAGTGGTGGAGACAGAATTTGTCTTGACAACAGTGTATGCTGTCTTTTTCCCTCTTAACATACTCTGGTCCCCCCTGGTAATGAACTTGGCACCATTCTCTCAGCTAGCTGGGGTTCTCTTGACATTTTTATTTGACCTTACTCTTTTTTGGTAAACTAACTCCTGCTTAGCAGTAGGTATTTTCACTTAATGTATTATACCTCCTGGGAAAACAAACGTGTACTGGAAAAGAAATATCTGACGCACAATAAAATTTTAAAGAGTTTATTTAGTAAGAAGCCAGTCATACATTGGGAAACACCAGACCAAAAGAGGTTTAGTGTTCCAATGACAAAACGCCAGAGGCAAGTATTTATTGGGAAAGTACAGAAACAAACAATTTATTTGGTTGGTTTGCAATTACATAATTGCCTTTTTTCAGGTACTGTATTGGAAAGTCCTTACTGACATAACAATATGTGAGTTGGATGCTTATGATTGGCTGGGGTTATGTTTTAGTTCTAACATAAGCATTTATCAGATATGAACCTGAGGTAAGTTTCACTTCTGTTTGCAATTTAAGGTGCATGCATATTGGTGCACACCTGTAGTCCCAGCTACTTGGGAGGCTAAGGAGATCAGTTGACCTGGGAGGTTGAGGCTGCAGTGAGCCACGATCCAGCCAGGATGACACAGTGAGACCCTGCCCCAAAAAGAAAAAGAAAAAAAAAGTAAGAAAAAGAGTACCCTTGTTTCTCACCTCCCAGAACCACTTTGTATTGGGAACTTTATATCAGTAATATAGATCCAGATTTTAGCAAATCCATGAAACCTATCTGACCTAAGAGCTTCCTGGAGTCAAGTCAGAGCTCTCCTGAGGATGAATAACTATAGAGCTCTCTTGAGAGTTCCATAGTTAACCAAGCTTTATACATTTATTCCATAAATATATTTTGTATACAGACACTGTACTAGCTTCTTAGGTGTTTCTTTTTTTGCTATGACCAGCCTATCTAAAAAACTGCATTTGCCAGGCATGGTGGCTCATGCCTGTAATCCCAGCACTTTGGGAGGCTGAGGTGGATGGATTGCCTGAGCCTAGGAGTTCAAGACCAGCTTGGGCAACATGGCAAAACCCTCTCTCTCTCTTAAAAAACAAAACAAACAAAACAAACACAAAAAACACACACACACAGAAAAAATTAGCTCAGTATGGTGGCATGCACCTGTCATCCCAGCTACTTGGGAGGCTGAGGTGGGAGAATCACCTGAGCCTGGGAGGCCAAGGCTGCAGTGAGCTGTGATTGCATGACTACACTCCAGCCTGGGCAACAAAGCAAGACCCCATATCAAAAATAAGAAGAAAGAAGACTCTGTTGACCTTTCTAAGAATGGATTACCTGTTATAGAGCAAATGCTATCCTCTGGCCTCAACCTCCTGTGTAGTTGGGACCACAGGCATATACCACCATGTCCAGCTAATTTTTCTTTTAAATTGTAGACAGGGTCTAACTATGTTACCCAGGCTGGTCTCGAGCTCCTGGGCTCAAGTGATCCTCCCACTTTGGGCTCGAGTGATCCATCCAGCACTCCCAAAGTGCTGGGGTTATAGGCATGAGCCACTGCATCCAGCCAATAGACTATTCTATATATCAATATATGCAATAGGACATTTATTTAATATTTTCAGAGATGATTATGATGAGTTCCTGAATTTGAACCAGCCTCCAGTGAATGCATCCTGGAATACCTTTTGCTTTCTTTTAGCCTAGAGTTTATCTGTTTTCACATGACATGAAAATAGCATGACCTGGGTAATTCATTTGACAAGTATTTACCTAGGACTCGTAAGTGCTTTTTATTGTTACAAGTAGAAGAAGACCATGCCATTATGCTTGTAGGTCTTTAAAGGACCTACAACCTAGTTGGAAATAATTATAGAATGGGATTAGATAGTATATATCATGATATCAACTTACTCATATTAAAGACCCTACTTTGTCTCTTTTTCTATTTTTTAATAATGCCTTAGATAAAAAGATGTAAGGGATCCTTGTTAAATACCTGGGAGACACAACGCTGGGAGTGAGAAATGGAAGACTAATATATTGACGATAGATAGTGATCCAGTAAACAAGAGCATTGTGCTGAAACTAACAAGTTGAAATTAACAAGAATAAATAGAAAGCCTTGCATTTAGTTTCAAAAATCCAGTAGCATAATTACAGGATGGGAGAAAGCTATAATGTCCACATTCAAAAAAAGTCTTGTTGACTTTTTATTTAATCTACACCGTCAGTTAGTATCTTAAAATACTACCGAGAACCAGGCACCATGTAGGCACTGGGGGACCTCACCACCTGATGCACCTGCAAACACAGATCTATTGGTCTCTAACGTGCAGCTGGAAGAGAAAATAAGCCTGCTTCATAGATCTCATCAGAAGGAGACACAACTCTCTAAGAAGGTCATATTTGATAAAATAGCCTGTAGAAGAGGGAGACTAGAGTGGTGAGTGACAGAAAAACCAGGCTGTACAGAAATATTGAGTGACCA